>NT_167247.2:1003711-1172174 GCF_000001405.40 Homo sapiens | reverse complement strand
GGCCAGGCCTGGAGTAATCTCATTCATTCTTTAGTCCTCATCAGGCTTCCTCAGGGACAGGTTGCTGGATTATGTAGAGACAATAGACAACCCCAACACCATCCCACATCCTTCAGCTCTCTAATGGTGGTGTGACCCCCACATTACTTTCAGTGTCTTCCTCAAGACACACCCTGGGACACACTATGATTTTTTTTTTTTTTTTTTTTGCCAGGATGTGGGCAGCGTCAGAGGTTTCCCTTTGGCTTTCAGCACAATGAGAGTCCTGACTCCACAGACTAGGGACCCAGTGTGGGGGTGACTCCACTTAACAGTGCATCAGTGTTAATTATGCACTCAGGGAATTGGAAGATAACCAGGGCTGGGTCTATGGATCCAGTAGTTCCATTGTGGGCCGTAATGTGTCCAGGTTTACTCCCTGACCTCCGTAAGCCCCACTGTGATGGGAGACATGATAGTGCTGTGGGCATCTGGGCATCAATGTCAGCTCTCACTCAGTGTCAATAATCTGACCAGTTCTGCATCTTTCCTTTCGCCAGTGTACAATCTCCTGAGTAAATGGCTATAGGTTCCTTTGCTGAAGGACTGAGGGAATTGTGCCAGCATTTACTTCCACGGAGTTGCAGGGTATTCCTCCTAGGGATATGGACTCCTCCTCTGTCACTGAGATCTGAATCTGAACTTTGGCTGAGGTCTAGGCATTGAGGATGGGATCATGACTTTGTATTGGGTCAAACACCTTCACCCTCCTGCTTCTCAATTCTTGCTTTCTTATCATAGATATCAAGCAGCGCCCTTGTTGGCTTCCTGTCCTAATCCTGGGACACCACCCTCTACTATCCTTCCCCACATTCCCTGCAGCTTGAGTCCTATTGGCTACTCCTTTTAGTTTGCCATAGTAACTCTGCCCTCTGGCTTTTTCAGGTCACTGCCACCATTTGGTCTTTGTCTCTTCAGGGCCACACTCTCCCCAGGGATATTAATAAATGCAACTCTGGGTCATCTTTACTACCATCACATCCAGCCTGCAGAGGACAACACCCCGACATTTCTTAATGATGCAGGTCCCTCTCACCATCACGTTTCTGAGGCTCTGGTGGAAGGTGTTTCCTTTGGACCGTCTTGTGGAGCATGGTACTGGTGGGCCTTCACCATGCCCACTTCCCTCAGCCTTGTTATTCCATCCTGTGCAAGTTCCAGGGCAACTAAGTCACGTCTACCTTGTTGAGAGTTAGGCATCATTTTTTCTAGTCTATATGGATTCACCCCAGCGGTGGGTTTGGCCCCCCCCTTATCAAAGTCCTGGGGTGTTTGATAAACCCATGCCTTGAGAAAGTGCCTCCAAGCCAAAGGATTTTTATTCTTCCAGCTTGAAATTCTGGTTCCTTGATCAAACACCCTCAAATTCCAATCCCAGAAGTGCTCCTCGGCCTCCTATGGGGACGTGCCAGCTAGTTCCTGCAAAGCTCTTCAGTGGGATTCCTGCTGTATCATGGGGGTGAGACTTCTGTAGCATCTTCCAGCATAGGAAGTGGGAACCATTACTAGAGAAGGGTGAGCCTCCTATGCATGCCCAGAGGATCCTGGAGGGCACCCATCGGATAACCCTGTTCCTGTTTGCAGAATCTCAGGTTTCCCCACCAGGGTCCTGACTTTCCTGTAACAGGCCTGCCTTGGCTGAGTGGCAAACCTCTCTGGAGCACTGTGGCCCTCATAGTGATGTCTTCAGCTACCATTCCACGGTATCTGCCCTTTCGCTACAAGAGATAAAGACCTGTGCATGAGACACTGCAGAGGCTGTCACATGTAGCCAGTGACAGCTGTTAACAATCTGCAGATTCTCATGATACTTTCACAGGGCATCATTGCAGCTGAGCAGTAACCAGCCAACTCCACTGTCTTTGTAGGTTTCCCCCTAACCCCGTCATTATTGTGCAGGGCATTCTATCACCCCACCTGCCATAGCTTCCCCTAACCAGGGCATCCTCTCAGCTCAGCACTGGTGAGACCCATAGCAGCTCGGCTGCATCTTGTGCTATGGAATTTCTGTGTCTCCCACAACCCTGGTGGCATCCTCTTGGCCTGCCAGGCAGTGGGCAAGCTTTTTTCAAATTCTCATTTTTGCCTGTTTTCATGGATCACCCTTCATACTACTTGTGTTAGTTAGGGTCCCCTGAGGAGCGGACCCCAATACAGTATTCAATGTGCAAGGATTTATTAGAGGAAATAGTTATGAGAGAAATTCAGGACACAGACGGAAAATGCTGGGAATGTCATCAGACCACAAAGCAACTCTGAGCCCCAGTGAGGTAAACAGTGCAGGAAGGTCAGCTGGAAGCATCCTAGACCCTGTGCAGGCTAACAGAAGTTCAGTAAGCGTGGCAGGAAGCCCTAGAGCTTCAGTCAGCCTTCAGAGAAGAAATGTTCCTGCCTTAGTTTCTGCCCTGCTTTCCTCAGTCATTGGCAGGAAAAGACAGGGGGCAGGTGTGGTCTCAGAGCAAATGTGGCAATAGGTTTCAGGATTCAAAAGTTGAGGCCACTATCAATTCTGCTTACTCTAGCTGAGGGGCTGGGATGTGCATTCTCATGACTGCCACAATGATCCAGTGGGGAGAGAGGAAAAAGGTTGATGATAAAGAGAAAAAAAGGTATTAATTGATGAACTGACACCTTTAAGTAGATGATAAGGGATGACATTTTGGGCACCAGAAGAGGGACTGGCTCTGATGGGAGCAGAATGGTTTACCCACAACAGTCCCCAACATGGTAAAACACCTGACATGTGTTGCAGCTGCAAATGCATGAGCAGATGGTGATGGAATCTGTCTTCTAATGTGTTCAGTTTTCTCAGTGAGGTAGGAACCAAGGTTGTCAGCTGAGATAAGAATGGGGAAGGAGGGTTGGATGTGTGAGCACAGAGAGAAGGTGTGTAAGGGTCACCCAGGCCAGGAGGAGGCTGAGGGTGAGCCATGCAGGGAGAGGGTGATTGCTGGCCCTGGTGGGGGCTCCCCATGTGGTTTGGGTCATGAAGTTAGAGAAGACACCAACGATGAGGGACAGTGAGTAGATGGTGGAATCACTGGATTGGTATTCCCAGGGTGGGGGTCGAAGGATTGTTGGAATTGATGTGCTAAAGGGTGGACTTCAAGCCTGGAATGCAGGCACATATGCAATGAGTAGTCACTGATATTACCTCACAGCATATGATAAAATGATAGAGTCTGTGTCCTCAGAGCCTGTGGCCACCTTGCATGGGATGAGTGGAAAGATGGCCAGAGAGTGGGAAGTGTGAAATTGAGAGTATGGAAGGGCTGGGGTTCTTGGGCATGATGAGGCCTAGGGGATGACAGGGGCATGAGATTCAGGCAGAGAGAGGAGAAGGTCATGGAGGAGAGGAGTTCCAGGATCTGAGAGTCCAGGGAGCAAGGGCATCTTCTCTGCTGTATAGGTGTCTATTGCTGCCATAAGAATTACCACAAACCAAGTGGCTTTAAACAGCACCTAATTATCATGTTACAGTCCTGTAGGTTGCAAGTCCACACAGTCTTATGGGGCTAAGATCAAGGTATGGGCAGGTCTGTGTTCCCTCCTGGAGACTCTGGGGAAGAATCCATTTCCAAGCTCATTCAGGTTCTTGTCTGAATTCACTTCCTTGCACATAGAACAGAGGTTTCCACTTCCTTGTTAAGAGCCATGCTTAGCTCCTAGAATCTTCTTTCAGCTACTCACACATGGTGCCTAAGGCACATCCAATCCTCCTGCTTGGAACGTCTGACCTCCCCTCTTCTATGTCTCCTCTGCCTTCCTCCTCTGCAGAATCTGACTCCAGCCAGGGCAGGTTCTCTGCTTTTAGTGGCTCATTTGATTTGAATGGGGCCACACAGATTGTCCAGGAGAATCTCCCTATTTTAAGGTCCTTAATCGTCATTACATGAGTAAAGTCCCTTTTGCCATGTAATGCAACCTGTTCACAGGTTCCAAGGACTAAGACTGGACCTCTTTCGGGACCATTACTCAGCCCACCACATGTTGAAGTCACCAACAGTCAAGGAGACTGCTGGAGAGGGTGACAGTGAACCAAGAGCTACAAGAGTCAGGATTGAGAGGAAAGGCCAGGGGCCCACAGGGAATGGCTACAATGAGGGGAATGGGGGTCTAATCTGATGACAGCCTAGGGGTTTTAGGGAGGAGGGAGGCAGAAAGTTCTGAGAACCACAGTGAGGAGCAAGGTCCCCACCTCACCTCTGAACCCAGGGGTACAAGTCCATGGGGGAAACTCCCCTATGTGGGAGGACTTCAGAGGGGGTCATGTCCTCAGGGAGACCAGGTTGCTGCTGGAGCTGGGAGGTGCAGGAACATCCTGAGAGAGGGTGTGGAGGTTTTGTTGATCATTGACTGAGATTCCAGGGGGTGCACTGGGAAGATTTCTGTGGTTTGGGAGGTTGGGGAGACAGAATAGTGGTGTGCAGAGCCTTGTGGGGATGTGAGTGCAGAGTATGTGGGGGACCCAGTGTCACTGACACAAACAGGGAAAGGATATGATGAGCTGAGTCCTGGTGGACTTAGCGCAGACAATGGTGCTGAGGCTGTGGGAGATGAGGGAGGAGGAGCAGGGGTGGCTTCACCTGGGCTCTGTCCGTGGAGGTGAGGACAATGAGGTGGTTGGGTCTCAGTGCTGTGTGGAACTTTCTTTTGACCTCCTTATGAGTGGATGGTCTGTCTGAGATAGAACGGGTCTTAGAGGATTTACTCATTACCCTGAGAGAGGGGGCGTGTTCATTCCAGGTTTCAGGTCTGCCCTGACACCTTTCTTGGTGGCTTAGACCTCCCTACTGTAAATTATTGGGTGTTAGTCCATTTTGGAGTTCATAACTTAAAGCAGAAACTCAGAGGGTTGAAATGTCATTTTCATGAAGGATTTTTATTAGAGTATCATTTAGATTGCCTTTGCAACCTCCCATGTGTTTTGTTTTTTTTCTAAAGGGCTGCTAATCTTGTTTTAAATTTGCAATGTAGTTAATTTATCTTCACTGTTAATTAGTTGTGGGTTGTTTAACCTTATACCATATAGTTTTACATATCTATAACAACAGTAGTTTGGGCCTCTTGTATTCTAATAGTTAAGTCCTTAAGCTGTGTACACACTGCAATTCAAGTATGAGTCATGCATAACCGTAGCACTAAGAGACAAGAGGGAAATCCCTCTCTCCTAAAATTTTGCAAAAGTTCTGGGTTTTTTTTTCCACTGAGTGGGAACTAGTCAGCTAATCATGAACATGAGGTCTTTGGCCTCATTTAAAGGTGCTTCAGAAGCACTGAGCCATAGGAAGGCCTCTTTGTCTAGGTCCGGGACCCTACACCATGGCAGAAGCCATCTTCCCTCCCAGTGTGCAGTGATGTCCCAGATAGCGAATTGGTTAGCCACTTTTCAGTCTCGGGCAGTTTTGTTTTCCAAAACATGGGTTTTTATCTCAGGACCTTCTTGTCCCCAGATGATCAAAACCGGGGCCATCCACTCCCTTCTGAGCCACCTCTGCCTGGGGGGCCTGTGGCTGTGTCCTCCAGTCACAACAGAACACTCCTTCAGAACACTCGCAGGAAGACAACATCTTGTCATTGGCTCACACATGCACGGTGCATGCACAGAGCTTTGGTTCTAGTTCAGGAGGTGTGTGGGGAGGAGGCTCACTAGTCCAACAGAGCTTGGTACCAGTGTCATATGCCAGGAGCCAAGGTTACAAGGATGCAAAGTTCCCAGACCTACCAGAGAAGGCAAACCCCTGCAGCATGCAGGGCTAGACAGGGGCAAGAAACAAGGTCATTCCGGGCCAGCAGGAAGAGGGAAAGGGAAACTACAGACGTACCTCAGAGACACTGCAGATTTGGTTTCAGACCATGGCAACAAACAAGTCACACAAATTTTTGTTTTTCCAGTGCATAGAAAAGTTATATTCACACTCTACTGTAGCCTATTAAGTGTATGATAGCATTATGTATAAAAGAACTATGTATATACCTTAATTTAAAATTACTCTATTGCTCAAAAATGCTAAGGATCATCTGAGGCTTCAGCTAATCTTAATCTTTTTGCTGGGGCAGGGTCTTGCCTCAATGTTGATGACTGCTGGCTGATCAGGAGGGTGGTTGCTAAAGGCTCTTATGGCAACTTCTTAAAATAAGACAATGAAGTTTGCGGCATGGATTATAAAGGGGGAATCAGTACTTAAGTAAGGTCAATATAAGTTTTCAAGTTAGGTGGACCTGAATATGAACCCTCCAGGCCTTTCCACCAGCTAGCTATAGAGCCTTGGACACATCTTGGCCATAGCTGGCCCTGACAGACACTTGCCCAGTGGGTGAGTGCTCAGTGAACCCCTCTGAGCCAGTTGCCTCACCCAACCAGTGATATAATTCCTTCCTTGCAGAAGAATAAGTGAAAAAAGGCACAGTGCCAAGAGAATCAGACACAAGACCTGCGGAAGGCTGTGCCAGTGCTCTAAAGCAAGTTCTGCCTAAAGCGGCAGAAACATTTTTCACATTAGGAACAGGAGTTGTTTGGGATCCTGTCTGGGGCCAGCTTGAGAGCAGAGCGGGAGTGGGGGCCTGGGTAGGGCCAGGCACTGGAGTGAAGACAGGCCTGGAGAGAGCCTCCTGAAGGCTGCTGAGCGGCTCAGACAGCTCCTTGCCTCACCTGCCACAGTCCTCCCACTCCCCTGGCTCTCTCGGTGCTGTTTTCTTCACCTCCTCCTGCCCTCCTGGTCCCTGGCACCCCAGGGCTCATAAACATGCTGCTCCCAAAACTCCAAGGCAAGTATGGAAGGGCAGAACAGCTTCTGGGACAGTGGGAAGATGAGGCCACCCGCTATGTGGCTCCAAGTGCTCGGGTGGAGGAGATGAAGGGATCAGTACAGTAGTCGGGGGAAATTCTCTCAATCCCACCCTGCATTACCCTCACCTCTGCAGCTTTTTGCCTATTTCCAACTCTCAGCTCCTTCCACCCCCACCCCAGCCCAGCCCTCAGGGCTCCCTCTCTCCAGCCCTCCCTCTGCCCAGAGCAGCACAGTCCAGAGTCCTTGAACAGGAATTCCCCCTCATCTAACAGTTAATCATTTATTAGTGGGGACAGACACCTGGTTGTCTCTTTCCGGTGACCCCATATCCTCATTCAAGGCATCCAGATATAGCCCCTGAGCCAGGGATCTGTATCTGCCCTCCAGAGGCCTATGCCCAAGACAGGTTGCTCCCTGGGATTCTCACTACAGGTGGACTTAAGCTAATGGGCTGGAAAAAGAGAAAACGAGGTCGAATTCCTCACTTACCATGAGATCTTGCAACACAGGTTCCAAGGGCCTCAACCCCTCTACCCTGGCTGATGCTCCCTCCTCCACTCCCTCTGACCAGGGCCCTGAGCCCCCCACACAGCTGAGCTGGCCCAAGCTGAGGAGTTGCTTGCACAGCAGCTGGAGCTGGACCAGGCCCTCCTGGAAGGGAAGGAGTCGGTGGGGGCCCAGGCCCTGGTGCTCAAGATCCAAAAGCTAAAGAAACAGATGAGGAGGCACTGAGAGAGCCTGGGAGGAGAGAGCCTGGGAGGGGACACCCAAGCTTCCCAGCAGTGCCCACAGCACCCTCCATGCCTGGAACTAATGTGCACCACCCCCAGGAGCCCCAGGATCAGAAACACCCCAGCATCTCCCAGGCCAGAGAAAGCAGAAGAGACCCCACAAAGGGCTGGCAATTGGCAGGTAGTGGGGGAGCCAGGGCTCTGCAGTCTTAGTCCCATCCCTCTTTGACCTCACAGCAGGGCACCAAGGCCTTACAGGAATTTACCCTGGGCCATGCCCTAAAATAACCTCACCCCAAATAAAATAAAGGGAGAGAGCACCCACACATAATGCAGATGCACTTGTGTTTCATTTTTAGTTATGTTAAAAATTCTGACAATCAGGAATGGGGGTTCAGGAGTGGTGCTGAGGCAGAGGACAGAAGCCAGGGGGTGGGGGAAGAGGATGTCAGGGGTGGGGTCAGTAGAGTCTCCTTCACCCCCAACCTGCAGTCTCCTCCTGAAGCGTGGTCACATGCCAGAATGGGCTAGTCCCCTACTGTGTCTGTTCAACTAAGGGGAAAATGTGGCATGGTGAGAATAAGGAATGAAAAGGAAAAAGTGAGGCAGGAGCACACGGCACACATGCAGATGCTGGTGTACTGTGTGGGTTCAGAGGACAGACTTGGGAGTGGGGGAAGAGATGTAATATGATGAAAGAAAACAGATACCCCACATAACGGTCAGAAAAACATCCCAACACGGCATCAAAGACCAGGGTGCATGAAGCAGCCAAGTGTCCATTATGCATCAGGTGCCCATGACAGGATTGAAGACAAACATATTAAGGAACTAGGAAGAACTAAAGGGCTTCATGACATCAGCACTCACTGTGGAGGAGATGTCTGTCTCATCAGGCAGCTCACTATCACTGACCTCAAAGCGATGCTGCCCATACTGAGGATCCTGGCATTATTGTCACCTGACACAAATGTGATGGTCAAGCCCTGTGCCACCTGGAAGGGGATAGAGGGTAGGATAGGACTAGAAGACCCAAAGAGGGAAGACTCTCAGAGGGAAGGATGAGGATATAAAGTGTGAAAAGATACAGAAAGTAAGGAGGTGGGAGAGTGGGTGTCCCTCTGGGTGTGGGGCTTAACTGCTGCAGGTAGGTCTCAGAATCCTCATGCATGTCATAGGTAAAGGCAATGCTCATCTGCTCCATGTCCATGGCTCAGCCAAATAAGTTGGTAGTCAACAAATTGATCTTATCTTTTGGGGTCATTCTCCAGCAAGTGCAGAACAGTAAAAAAATTTAGTCACCTGAGGTGCATATCTTGGCTTCCTGGCCAGTTTTCCCAAGGCCTCCACTGCCACCCTGCACCCTGGGTGCCCTCCACACTCTCCAAGTGTCCAGATGTGTGTGAGGAGTTAAGGGCAGGAAGAACTATTGGATCGTGGATTTAGGTGCCTTTTTCCACCTCTGCAGGTGGCAAGGTGTGGATTCATAAGCTGGCATTGAAGCGAGTTCTGTCCTTTGTGAATAGTTGTTTGGTCACCCACAGTCATAGCTGAGCCCTGAGAATAAGAGAAACTTGTCTAGAAAAAGAAATTGTGTTGACTCTTAAATAGACATTTCTGGTCTGCGTTTTATTTCAAGTGTCTGGGAAGAGATAGAGTGTGAGGTTCAGGAGAGAAGGAGAGGTCTGTCTTGATGCTTTGACACAGCACCAAGAAATTTCCCCTCCTCCCCCACATCGCCCCGCCAGTTCTCAGTGAGGGACAGATTCACAGCAGTACTGAAAGGGCTGGGAAGAGATGGGGAGACATCTGGGGCCAATGTTCAGGGGTTGACCCTGTGGGAGGACACCTGCCTTCAGAGTTAGAGCCCACATGTGATGATGTAGAGCTGAAGGGTGATATCAGGGAGGTGATGGAGAGTGCTTTGGGGTTTCCTGATTATGAAGAGCAGAGGTCAGTCTGCTTCCTGGGTGAAGTGACTGCTGGGGAGATTGGATTGAATTAATGAAGAATAAATAAACGGGGAATGAGGATAAGCAAGCATCAGCATCTCCCACCATCAGTTCAGACTGAGGGGAGTTTGGATTGAATTAATGAAGAATAAATAAACAGGGAATGAGTATAAGCAAGCATCAGCATCTCCCGCCATCAGTTCAGACTGAGGGGAGTTTGGACTGAATTAACGAAGAATAAATAAACGGGGAATGAGGATAAGCAAGCATCAGCATCTCCCGCCATCAGTTCAGACTGACTGGGGAGGTGGGATAGTTATTGACTCTGTTACGTGGTTCCTCCTAACTTCCTGGTCTTGGGGCACACAGATGGGTGGTGCTGTTCTTGGTCAAGGCAGCCTCAGCTCCACCCAGGTAAGGCAGTGGTGGCAGAGAGAGTTAGGGGAGCACCTGTGAAACCGACCAAGGCAGAGATGGGAGCCCTCTGTGCAGCAGGAGTGGATGCAGGACCTGCCTGGAAGCAAGAGGATGAGGGAACCTAGTTGGGTCCTGTTCCCTGCCTGCCTGTGTTCGCAGGGTAACCAGTAAGGGAGCTGGGGTAGGGAATTCTTTCATAGGTTATCTAGCCAGAGATATGTTTATAGACATGTTCTTTCATGTTTATATTCAGGTTTGTTGTCACATAGACATTTATCCATGCGTGTTTTATGTTTGTTACTTTAGAATGGCTCAGTCACAAAATCTTAATCTCTTCATTCCTGCTGCCTCTCTACACACACATACACACACATTCACACACATGCTATGCAAACATGTCTACCTGTATCTACAAAGAGAGATGTTATTTTATTTTTAAATTTTTAAATTCGTATATATTCATGGGGCACAGGTGCAGTTTTGCTACATTGCTATATTGAGTTGTGGCAAAGTCAGGGCCTTCAGTGCATCCACCACTGGAGACAGATACATTGACCCCAACAAGAAACTCCTCTACGATACACCCACTGCCAACCACTCTTACCCTTCTGGGTCTCTATTGTCTATCATTCCACACGCTGCTTTCATGCATATAAAGAGATATTAATCAGATATATCAGAGTGATAACTTGAATTTTACTGCACTATTCTTTCAGCTTCTTTGCACATTTGAAAATATATACAATTATAAGTTGGAAGAATGAGGGAACAAAAAGAGCGAGAGAGAGTGCTGAATCTGAATAGGCTAGGGGTTGGGTCTCACTAGGAACTATAATTGATCTCTGCCATTTTGAAAGTGTGGCCCCCTGAGCTGCCTTCAGAGAGTCCTGGAGGGAAACCTGTTTTCACAGTAATACCAAGATGCCATTTGCCTGTTTCATTATGTTGACTTTTCCATTAATGCTGCAAATGCCAAGGTCGGTAGCACACCCAGCACCTTAGCAGAACCAAGGCAGTGGCTCCAAACTGCAGTCCCATTTAAGAATGCCTTTGATGGAGCAGTAAAATATTTATGTTCATTAAATTTTGATCCTTGAGTACATGTCTTTAATATTCTTTGTGAGAAAATGGGAGATATGCAAAGAGAAGCAGGATAGTAGTCTTGAGAAAGGGCACTTGTGTAGACTCAGTTATGAGTTCAACCAGCAGATCTCCTTCACCCACTGAAAGACAATTGCATTATTTCCAGTTTATGGAAGTAATTATGAATAATTACTTCCAGGAGTATTATGAATAAAGCTGCAAGAGTATTTGTATACAGGTTTTTCATGAACATAAAGTTTTCCCTTGTTTGAAATAAGTGCCTAGGAGGGCAATTTCTAGTCATATGGTAAATTGCATGTTCAGTTTGAAGAAAACTGCAATATCCATTTCCAGAGTGGCTGTACCATTTTAAAATCCATTCCTACCAGCAATATGAATGATCCAGTTTCTCTGTAACCTTGCCAGCATCTGTTGCTACCTTTATTTTGTATTTCAGCCATTCTCATCACTGCAGTTTTGATTTGTATTTTCCTACTGGATAGTGATGTTGAGTGTCTTTTCATCTGTTTGTTAGCCTGGTGTTTATCCTCTTCAGTGAAACGTCTGTTCATGTCTTGCTCATTGCCTATTGTTTATTTGGATTTCATTTTTACTGTTGAGTTTTTACATTTCTTCATATATTGTGAATGCAAGTCTTTATTGAATATGTGGTTTGCAAATATCTTCTCTCATTCTGTAGCTTGTCTTTTTATGCTCTTCATAGGTCTCTCACAGAGCAACAGTTTTAATTTTGATAAGATCCAGTTTAGTAACTTTTTCTTTTACAGATCATACTTTTGGTGTTATGTGTAAGAACTCTTTGTCTAGTCTTAGTTCTGATGGCTTTTTGTTAAAAGATTTGTAATTTTAATTTTTTAATGTATTTGTTATTTATTTAAAAAAAAATCTTGCCTAGGCTGGCCTTGAACTCCTGGGCTCAAGGGATCCTCCCACCTCAGTCTCCTGAGTAGGTGAGAGTACAGGCCTGTGACACCACACCTGGCTCAATGTTTGTAATTTTAACTGTGTGTTGTGTTTTACATTAAAGCCTGTGATTCATTTTGAGTTTTTTTTTTTTTGTATAAAGCGTGAGGTTTGGGCTCAGCCTATTTTTTTTCCACTGTGGTTGTCCAGTTGCTCCAGCACCATTTGTTGGGAAAGCTCTCCTTCCTTCATTGAATTGTGTTTGTGCTTTTGTAAATGTCAGTTGAGCATATTTGTGTGTTTTGCTCATTTTCAGTTGAGTTGCTCATCTTCTTACACATTGAGTTTAAGAACTTGCCACATTATTCTGGAAACATGTTCTTCAACACAAATGTAATTTGTGATAAATTGTGAAATATTTTCTCCCTGTCTATGGCTTGTCTTCTCATTCTCTCAATGTCTTTTGGAGCACTCAAGTTTTAAATTTTAACTAAGCCCAATTTCTCTCTCTCTTTTTTTTTTATTTGTAGATCATGCTTTTGGTATTTTATCTAAGAATCTTTTGCCTAACTACCCAAAGTAATAAAAATTTTCTCCTGTGTTTTCTTTTAGAAATTTTATAGTTTTAACTCATAAATTTTAGCTGTTTAGGTCTCTAATTTGTCTGAGCTGATATTTTATATGGTGTTAAATGTAACATTGTGTTACCTATGCAACTTCATTGAAAATCAATTGACAAAGAAAGTAAGAATATCTTTCTAGATTCTCACTTCTGTTCATTGATCTCTATGTCTCTCAGTTTCACACTGTCTGGATTATTGTAGTTTCATATGACATTCCATTTTTTTTTTCAAATTTGTGTTGGCCCTTCTGCATCCTCTGCATTTTAATATACATTTTTAGGATTATTTTGTCAATTTTCTTTTCTTTTTTTCTTTTTTTTTTTTTTTTGA
Source organism: Homo sapiens (assembly GCF_000001405.40). Lineage (NCBI taxonomy): Eukaryota > Metazoa > Chordata > Mammalia > Primates > Hominidae > Homo > Homo sapiens. The sequence continues at coordinate 1,159,284 of NT_167247.2, read as the reverse complement.
GACGGAGTCTCGCTCTGTCACCCAGGCTGGAGTGCAGTGGCATGATCTCCGCTCACTGCAACCTCCGCCTACCGGGTTCATGCCATTTTTCTGCCTCAGCCTCCCGAGGAGCCCGCCACCACGCCCGGCTAGTTTTTTGTATTTTTAGTAGAGATGGGGTTTCACCGTGTTAGCCAGGATGGTCTGGATCTCCTGACCTCATGATCCGCCTGCCTCAGCCTCCCAAAGTGCTGGGATTACCGGCATGAGCCACCGCGCCCGGCTTATTTTGTCAATTTTCTATAAAATCCCTGCTGGGATTTTGATAGGGATTGTGTTGAACCTATAGATCTACTGGGGGAGAATTGCCATCTTAACAGTATTATCGAGCTTTCCAACTCGCATCTCTCCATTTATTTAGACCTTTAATTTCTCTGAGGAATGTTTTTTTATTTTCAGTGAACAAACACTGCTGTCTTCCTAAATTTATTCCTATTTCGCTCTTCTGGTAACTACTGTGATAGGAAAGTTGAGATTTTCATTGCTTCTATAGAGAAATATGTTAATAATTAATTTTTATATTGATTTGATATCCTATGGGCCCTTCTGGATTCATTTATTAGTGCTAGCCAGTTTTTATCTGCTTGTGAATTCTACAGACAGGGTCATGTTATCTGTGAATAGAATTGTATGTTTTCCTTTTTATCTGGATGCCTTTAATTTTTAATTTTCTGCCTTATTGCACTGGCTACAATCTCCAGTATAATATTAAATAAAAGTGGTGGGATTGGACATCCTTGCATTGATCCCCATCTTAGGAGAAAAGCATTCAGTCTTCAGTCTTTCTTCATTAAGTTTGATTTTAGCTGTGGGTTTTTTATAGATGCGCTTTATCAGAGTGAAGAAGGTCTCCTCCATTCCTATTTTGTTGAAACTTATGAACATGAGTGATGTTAACATTTTTGTCAACTGTTTCTTCTGCATCTTTTGAGATAATTATGTCTTTTTTTCCATTAATACAGTGCATTCCATGAATTGATTTTCAAATGTTAATCCAACCATATGTTCCTGGGATGAATCCCATTGGTCATGGAGTGTAATCCTTTTTTATGTGGCTTTGTATTATCTGCCAATGTTTGTTAAGGATGTTTTCATTTATGTTTATTGGTGACACTGGTGTATGGCACTCTTTTCCTGTGAGTCTTGCTGTGACTTTGATATGAGGGTAATGCCAGTTCTGTAAATGGGCTGGAAAGTCTTCCCTCCTCTCTTCTTGTCTGAAAGAGCTTTCAAAATATTTGATAGAATTCACCAGTGAAGATATCTGGGCTTTGGCATTTCTTTTTGAGAAGGTTTTTCAATTTCTGACTTAGTTCACAGTTCTCTTCAGGTTTTCCAGTTAATTTGGGTCAGTTTTGGCAATTTCTATCTCTGCACGAATTGGTCCTTTTTATCTAAGTGGTCTAACTTATTGGCTTCAGGTTTTTCAGAGTATTCACTTATAATGTTTTTTAACTTCCTAAGGGTCATTAGTGATAATCTCTTTTGTTCACAATTTTGGTAATTTATCTTATTTCTCATAATCTCTTTTTTCACTGTTGGTCAAGAAAACAGACAGAGGCAGCAGATGGAGATGTGACAGATTCTCTAGTGGGAAGGCTTTGATCATAATACCTGGCAAGCCAGAATGATGCCAGCAACCCCAAAGGAGCTGCCAATGGATCTTGACAGGAAAATCACTGACTCTGGATTGGGCTATGCTCAACCAGGGGTAGATGTCAATGCTTCAAGGGCTATACAAGGACCAGAAAAGAAGAGGTTGCACCAATTTGGACTGCCGAGTCACACTTCTTTACACAAGAAAACACACTTTACAGCCTCAAACGGCCAACAATGCAGAGGGACATGTCCTCCTCAGGGGAAAATTTGATAGAAAATTGAAATGGTCAATTGAAACATTGTTTGTCTAAAAACTGCCAATCTAATTGTTGGGCAATATAAACATGAAGGACTGGCTTTTATATCTTCATGAATGTGCTCGCTGTCAACATGAGTGGGGCTGCAAGAATAACTCCACTAGGTAGCATCCTCTCTTTTACCTGATGGATCAGGACGATGCTGTTACGACGATACATACAATTCTTCTGAAGGGGAGAGGATGCTGGAATAAAGACTACACTTCACCTCAAATTTATTTTTTCATATGTTATGCCATAGTACCAGGAATAGGGATGTAAATAAAAGTGCCAGAAACAGGAATTATCCCTAAGCGAAAAACCATAACTATATTTTTACACCTTTATGTAAGAATTCTCAAGTATTCATTTCATCTGAAAAGTTAGGATTAACAGTAAGTAGAGTTATATAGCCTGGTGGTCTGATAGCCCCCACTAGTTCCTTACCTATATAACCTACCCTCTATGATCAAGACTAGACTGAGGGAAGACATGCTAGAATACTATTGCTGCCTGCAGTCTAGGCCAGCCCAGCAGACAAACCTAATGTCACTCCCAAACCTGGAAACAACTGATATAAAAGGACAGAGGGAGGAATAGTGGCTGAGGGTAAGTGAATAAATCAAAGGGTTATATAATGAGAAAAATTCAATATTAGCTTAACTCCTCAAAGGTGGTGTGAGCAAGAGAAGATATTGTCACTTAGGTCAATTATACGGGATGCCTAAAAGAGTGAAGCTGTATGTCCCTGAGACCATCCTTGTTTTTGGAACCTGGTAAGATTGAGTGTTGTCAGCAAAGCTGAGTGATTTCATTCTGGGAGACATATTCATACAAGAGGATGATAAACTGGCCTAATTTTGAATGAATGGATGAGACTCTGATAATATGCCAATACCTCTTTACTGTTACAATCCTTTTTCCTGTAAAAGATATGTGGTCAAAGAAAAGTGGGCAATCTGAGTTATCACAAAAACATTTAGTCTTTGTCCCTGGTTTCTCCTAAAAACCTTAGACTCTCTTGAGTGATAAGAGTGTCTTTAGAGTACTGATGAGAAGACTCTTGGCTGAGTGGATCCTGGATATCTTAAGAACGGTGGCTAGCTGCCAGAGACACATACCTGTGATGCGAGGGTTATCTTTTTCCATTTTGTGTTGCTATAAAGAAATGTCTGAGACTGACTAATTTATATAAACGAGGTTCATGTGGCTCAAGATTCTGATGTCTGGAAATGTTTGCGCATTTAGTGAGGGCCTCAGGCTGCTTCCACTCATGGCAGAAGACAAAGGGGAGCTGGTATATGCAGAGATCACATGGTAACAGAGGAACACAGAGAGTAGGAAGTTGCCAGGGTCTTTTTAACAACTAGCTCTCTTGGAAAATAATAGAGCAACAATTCATTCATTCCTGAGAGAGGGCAGTATCTCTCGATTCATAAAAGATTGGTCACCATGACCCAAATGGTGGCCATTAGGCCCCAAGTCCCACAGTGGGCGTTAGATTTTAACATGAGGTATCAGGGGATAAATGTTTATATCATTGCATCCCCTCCCTAGCCAGCCAAAGGTCATGTTCTTCTCACATTGCAAAATATAATAATCTACTCCCAATTGTCCCAAATGTGTTAGGTTGTTCCAGCATCAACTCAAAATTCTAGAGTCTCATCTGAGACGCAAGGTAAATTCTTATAGCTTTGAGCCTGTAAAATTTTTTTAAAAAATGTTATTTGCATCTAAAATATTAATAAAACAGTGGAAGAGACATTTCTTGTACATTTCCATTCCAAAAGGTATATAAATGGGCCAAAAGAAATGAATGCAGTTTCCTCATAAGATTGAAACTCATCATGGCAGACATTAAAACTTAAAGGTCTAAAAGAATCTCCTTTGACTCTATATTTTGAATCCAGAGCACAGTGGCTGGTGCAACTGCTGGGCTCCTAATGCCATTTGCAGCTCCACATTTATGGCTTTGCTGAACATAACCCATATAGCTGCTGTCATGGGAGAAAATTGAATGCCTATGGCTTTTCCAGGCTGAGGTTGCACATAGCCAGTGGCTCTACCATTTAGTAGTCCTGGCAGGGGTCCTGTTGCTGCAGCTCCGCTAAGAATTTTCCTGGGTATTAAATTTCCCCATTTAAATATCAGTTCCAGTTTTGGGTCATTTCTTTGCTCACACATATGCACATAGGCTATTACAGGCAGCCAGACCAAATCCTGAATTCTATGCTACTGAGAAATTTCTTCCATCAGATACCCTTAATCATCACTCTCAAGTTTAAAGTTCCACAGATCCCTAGGGAGGTGGCACAATGCCTCCAAGAACTATCACAAGAACAGCATGAAAGAGATGATTCTAAACCATTCATGAATCATCCATCCTCATGAGCCAATCACGTCCCACCAAGCACCACCTCCAACATTAGGGATTACAAGTGAGCATGAGATTTGGGTGGGGACACAGATCCAAACAATATCAGGGGTCATGGTGGACATGAGGGTGGGCTGGTCTCTCCACTTCTCACATGTTACCAGGGACATAGACACATTCAGATGCCTTGGCAGAAAGAGAAAACAGAGGCCCTTGAAGTCTCAAAGTGGAGCCATGAACAAATCTTGCATCTCAGTCCCTCACAAGGCAGTCTTGGAAAGAAAATATTCGTGAACAAATTCAAGTCAGTCATGGTAAGTGGTGACACTGAACAGCCCACCACACATTGAAAAATTCCAAATCAAAGACTCTCTAGAGCCTAGTTGTGTCCCATCTGCCCCAACTCCTCCTTCACTTCAGGCCCTCTAAGGTGTCACTTTTACAAGACTTGAGAGACACATCAGAGCCCTGGGTACTGTTCCTGTTTGGGGTGGAACAAAAACAAAGTCTGGTCAGAGCCCACAGGTGATGTGACTAAAGGAGGAATTGTGGGGTGGTGACCTCCCCCATGGGCTCCTGTCTACACTATTCCAAGGATCTCAGGAATCACTCTCCCACCCCTACCACACTTACTTGAAGCCTGAGCATAGCTGACTCCTTTTCCATATGAGGAAAGAAAACAAACTGTGAGAGGCCAGGGAAGAGGCAGGGCCATGAGATCCTAGAGGAGTTTCCAGAACTGTGACTGCAGACCCAGGTCAGGATCAGAAAACCCGAGGGAAGAGGATGTGTTGAAGCTGAACCAAATGTCCTTTTGACATCTGTCCTCAGCAGGAACATTCTCCTGACTTGTGACTGCTGGGAGTCAGGTTCCCATGATCACAATCAAGGTGATAAATTTGTCCTTCAATTTCACAGGTGCTTTACAAAAGAGTGAGAGTTGACAGGGCATCTGAACAGGGTAAATGTGTGTGGAGATGGTGTCTCACAACTAGGCAGGAAATGAGCCAACTTCCATCTGGAGCTTGAAATCCACGAATGGAAGAAGAAATCTTGGAACTCACCCCTTTCCTACCTGGGGTCTTATTCTTCCACATCACAGCAGTGACCACAGCACCTAGAACAACCAGGACGGTAACGATGCCCATGATGAGGAATGTGGGCTGGGAAGATGGCCCTAAGAAAGGAGGGGAACGTGAGGGGTCCTGACCCCCAGGCCTCAGCCCTGACCCTGCTGAAGGCCTCCAGAAGGGCTCCTGCTTTCCCTGAGAAGAGACATGGCCCCTCATTCATCTCCTTAGCCCATCTCAGTGTGAGGGGCTCTGGCAGTGCCTCCTGCTGCACATGGCATGTGTATCTCTACTTGTCTCTAGAAGACAGCATCACAGCTGCCCACTTCTGGAAGGTTCTATACCCTGCAGGTCTGGTCCCCACAAGCTCTGCGTCCTAAATTTGGTCCTCCCCATCCCACAGTTGGGTCACTGTGATTTCCACATGGTAGAAGCCCAGGACCCAGCACCTCAGGGCGGCCTCATGGTCCGAGATGGGGTAGTGGATCACACATGTATTCTGGGATTCTGAAGGGAAGAGTAAGAAAATTGAGGCACTTTGCATTCCTCATGGGACACTCCAGCAGCACCCATGTGACCATCCTGAGAATGGATAGGACATCTGGGGTGGGGAAGGGAGCACAGAACCCAGACACCTCCTGGCCACAGGCACCTGGGATAATCTCCTATTCCTTGGAAAGTTAGTGTCTGAGGCGTTGAATAATTTAGAGTCTGCAGAGTGCCTGGGATTGCAGGCGCGCACCACCATGCCTGACTGGTTTTCGTATTTTTTTGGTGGAGACGGGGTTTCACTGTGTTGGCCAGGCTGGTCTCCAGCTCCTAACTGGGAGTGATCTGCCAGCCTTGGCCTCCTGAGGTGCCGGGATTGCAGACGGAGTCTCTCTCACTCAGTGCTCAATGTTGCCCAGGCTGGAGTGCAGTGGCGTGATCTCGGCTCGCTACAACCTCTGCCTCCCAGCTGCCTGCCTTGGCCTCCCAAAGTGCCAAGATCGCAGCCTCTGCCCGGCCGCCATCCGGTCTAGGAAGTGAGGAGCGTCTCTGCCCGGCCGCCCATCATCTGAGATGTGGGGAGCGCCTCTGCCCCGCCGCCCTGTCTGGGATGTGAGGAGCCCCTCCGCCCAGCAGCCACCCCGTCTGGGAGGTAAGGAGCGTCTCTCCCCGGCCGCCCTGTCTGAGAGGTGAGGAGCCCCTCCGCCCAGCAGCCACCCCGTCTGGGAAGTGAGGAGCGTCTCTGCCCGGCAGCCGCCCCGTCCAGGAGGGAGGTGGGGGGCAGCCCCCGCCCGGCCAGCCACCTCGTCCAGGAGGTGGGGGGCGCCTCTGCCCGGCCACCCCGTCTGGGAAGTGAGGAGCCCCTCTGCCCGGCCGCCACCCCGTCTGGGAGGTGTACCCAACAGCTCATTGAGAAGGGGCCATGATGACGATGGCGGTTTTGTCGAATAGAAAGGGGGGAAATGTGGGGAAAAGACAGAGAAATCAGATTGTTGCTGTGTCTGTGTAGAAAGAAGCAGACATAGGAGACTCCATTTTGTTCTGTACTAAGAAAAATTCTTCTGCCTTGGGATGCTGTTAATCTATAACCTTACCCGCAACCCCCTGCTCTCTGAAACATGTGCTGTGTCCACTCAGGGTTAAATGGATTAAGGGCGGTGCAAGATGTGCTTTGTTAAACAGATGCTTGAAGGCAAAAAAAAAAAAAAAAAAAAAAAAAGAATGCCCAAAATGACAATTTTCTGACTCAAGCATCTACAAAAATATTTGCCTAATCAGGGTGCTTTGCAATTAGAAAAATGTGAGTCTCACATCTTTGTCTGTACAACTGGCTTAGCATCATGACAATGATTTGGTTTGATGTGGTAGGTGGAAATGGTTAAATTCAATCTAGGAACAAGATTTTTCAGTAACTGGCTATTCAGTGGGCATCCTGTGATCAGTTTAACATCTTTCACTGTGGTTTTTAATTAGATGTGGTAGAAGTGATTTGGACTCCAGTATGATTCTGAAAAACACTGTTATTTTGTGCTTCTAATGTTGCTTTAAAAGCAGCTCTTTCGTGTTTTCCATTCTTATTGCTATTTCATCACTAGTTATTCATTTATGTCTTTTCATTTAATTTATTTTGCTCAACAATGCTTTTTTTCTATTCTGTAAAAGTTTAATTCACTTGTATGTGTGGTAAAATGTGAGCAACATATCAAATTCTCAAATTCTTTGCAAGATACTATTGCCTTACCTATCAGATTGAACACTGTGTATCAGAAAATGTAGAGAGTTGCCAACTAGCCAAGGATCAAATGACCTATTTGTAGCCAAGGCTGTTTTTCATGGCATCCTGGTCCTCTCACATGGCTCCTTAAAATTGGCTGTGGCTTGTTTTTTGTGGTTGTTTGTTTGTTTGTTTTGAGATGGAGTATGGCTCTGTCACCCAGGCTGGAGTGCGATGGCAGGATCTCAGCTCACTGCAACTTCTGCCTTCCAGGTTCAAGCGATTCTCCTGCATCAGCCTTCTGAGTAGCTTGGATTACAGACACGCACCAACACGCCCAGCTAATTTTTGTATTTTTAGTAAAGACGAGGTTTCACCATGTTGGTCAGGCTGGTCTCGAACTCCTGATCTCGTGATCCACAGGTCTCGACTTCCCAAAGTGCTAGGATCACAGAAGTGAGCCACCGTGCCCGGCCAGCTGCGGCTTTGTTTTACTACGAGTAGTTATCGCAAAGGATGCTTGTGATGAACTTTGGCATTTTCTTTTCTCTTTCATTTCCAAATAATCAATCAGGAATGGCACACAAGGTGCATTTTGAAAAATACCACTTTAAAGATTTGTGGGCCAGGAGTGGTGGCTCATGCCTGTAATCTCAGCAATTTGGTAGGCTGAAGTGGGTGGATCACCTGAGGTCAGGAGTTCCAGACCAACCTGGTCAACATGGTGAAGCCCGTCTCTACTAAAAATACAAAAATTAGCTGGGAGTGGTGGCATTTGCCTGCAATCCCAGCTGCTCAGGAGGCTGAGGCAGGAGAATCCCTTGAACCTGGGAGGCGGAGGTTGCAGTGAACTGAGATCATGCCACTGTACTCCAGCCTGGGCAACAAGAGCGAGACTCAAAATATATAAATAAATAAATAAATAAATAAATAAAGTTTTATGATCAAGTAACTAACTACCTGGATATCCCCTCCTGGCATAAGAAACAGAACCTATGAAGCCACCCTAGGCTGTTGTCCAATCCTATCCCCTAAAAGGAACCTATGTCTTGAGTCTTGTATTTGCTATTCCTTGGCATTGTCACTGAAGATTTTTACAATAATACCCAAATCACAGTTTGACCTGTATTTTTTTAACTTCCCCATACAGAGAACTCACACCGCATGTATATTATGTGTTGGGGAGTTATCTCTGATGTGGGAGGGTGCTTATCCTTTTAATTTTTTTTTCTTTTTGAGATGGAGTTTCACTCTTGTTGCTCAGGCTGGAGTGTAGGGGCGGGATCTCAGCTCACTTGATCTCAGCTGCTTGGTTCAGCTCCATCTAGCATCTTTCCCCACGCTGTCACCCCCAGCACCAGGGGACTGAGAGTTGATGACCTGGTACACCACCGCCTGGATCTGCTGCAGTGTCCTTTCCTGTCTAGTCCGCACTCAAAGCTGACCTCTTCCTATATTATACCCAGACAGTGGGCCAAACAATATACTTAGATGTGGAATGTGGTGTTGCCAGGACCCAGAGAAGCTCACCAAATAGTGTGCTTCCTTCCTTCTGTTGAGGATGCAAGATGCAAGTTTGTCTTTTACTTTGGAGGGGACAGCCCTGCATGCCCCTAACCACTGGACCCATAACACTTCACTGCAGTGGCCACTCTTGAAGCTCTGTAAGGTTAATCTTCACCTTCTGTAGTGCACACGTTTTGCCAAAGAATTCAGCGTACTTTCCTCCTCTTACTCATCCATCCCAATCTATGTGATATTGCCAATGAAATGAAGAGATTTAGTATTCTGTGAGATGTCTGATTTGTCCAGATCTCTTAAGGTGATATTTATAGAAGGTTGAGGAGTTAAAGTAGCCCTGAGGCAAGCTATCAATAAATGTATTATAAATCCCATGTGAATGTGAATCATTCCATATCCATTTTCTAAATGGAATGGGAAAGAATGCACTCACCAAATGCATGGCTGTTTGCCATGTGCCTGAGGCCTTATTAATCTCCCCAAGCAGTGATATCCAGCCAGCATGGCAGCTGCAATCAGGACTCCTACTTGGTCAAGTCTGGAGTAATTCCATTCATTCTTTATCAGGCTTCTTCAGGGACAGACTGCTGAATTATATGGAGATAATAGGCAATCCCAACACCACCCCCCATCCTTCAGCTCTCTAATGGCAGTGCCACCCCTACAATACCTGCAGTACCCTCCTGAAGTCCCACCTGGGGCGCAATATTGCTTCTGGCTTGGCTGGGATGAGGGAAGTTTTAGATGATTCCCTTTGGGCTTCAGCACAATGATAGCCCTTACTCTTCAGACTAGGGATGTAGTGTGGGGGTGACTCCCTTTGCCAGTGCATCAAGGCCAATTATGCATGTGGAGAATGGGGAGATAACCAGGACTGGGTTTATGAACCCAGTGGTCCCACAGTGGGCCATAATGTGTCCAGGTTTATTTCCTGGCCTCCTTAAGCCCCACTGTAGATTCTGAATCTGAAGCTTGGCTGAAGTCTAGGAATTGAGACTGGGATCATGACTTTGTATTTGATCAAACACCCTCAGTCTCCTGCTCCTCAATTCTTGCATTCCCATCATAGATATGAAGCAGTGCCCTCGCTGGCTGCCCATCTGTTCTGACGCTGGGACACCACCTTTTACTAACCTTTCCCAAAACTCCATGAAGGTTGAGCCCCTTTGGCTGCTACTCTGGGTTCTCACAGTAACCGTGCCCTCTATCTTTTGCAGGTCGCTGCAAAGGAGGGTTCCTAAAGCATTCACTCCTGATCCTGAGGGAGGTGGGTGCACTCACTCCAGGTCTCAGGTCCGCCACAGAAAAGCAAAAACTCCTCACATTCAAAACTGTCCTGGGCCACATTCAGCCTGCGAGCTACGGGTTAGACAAGCTAGCATCTAGAACATATGTACCACAACACCAGAAATTTTTCTGTTTTCACCTTAATGATGCTTTCTAAACGCAAAAGCAGTCATATCCCTAGCAGACAACAAATGTCAGTTGAATGAATGATCACTGTAGAGCACTTCTCTATTCTAAAGCCAATATCTTTGTTAAGGTAGCCTCAGGGCAAATGCTGTTTTGTGGCAGCTAAAGAACAACATCATCTCATGTGGACATCGATGCCGCCAGTGCTTTTCTCACCAGGACTGCTTGTGTGTCCTCCCTCCCTCCCTACCTCCTCCCACACCAACCCTCCTGCACACTGCAGCACACAACCATATTTTTCTCTTCAGGAAAGATAACCCTAGGCTTATGGGTACAATTTTCCAACCACGTATGAATCTAAATTAGACTCTGCTTTGTAAATCCATGAGTTTGGATTGGAGCCAGCACTAGGATTACTACAACTCAGGGCAGGAAGAAGAGTAGGAGAGCAGAAGAGGAGCTCCAACAGAAAGTTCACTATGATGAGAAACTATGGGACCCCTCCTCTCTGCAAATTTCAGAATCTGCTTCCTTTAAAAAGATTGGAGACAAGATGAAAACTACAATCCAGGAAAGAGCCCTGGGAGGAGGGCAAGAGCTGGACAGGTCTGAAAATTAGTCTCTTGATACCACAATGAGATTTGTATGCAGGGACCACCCTAGGTGACATCCAACTCCCTGTGATCACAGGTGGTGGTGGGACAAGGTTCTACTGAAGGGCCAAGGAGAATGAAGGAGCAAAGATGACCCAGCTGAGCAGTGACCACATAAAGTCCATACTGGCCTGAGCACCCACTAGGCACAGCCCCATCTATTCTCCTCCCCTGCAACAAATCAGCACAAGAAACACATGGACTCTGGAAGGTTCTCATGTGTTCCATTTATTTTGTCTCTCAAATTTTAGGAATCTTCTCCTTTAATTAAGTCATCAACCTCTCATGGCAAGAATTTGAAAAAGTAAATGTTTACTCAGATTCTAATTTTAAGAGGGAAGTAAGAAGTTACAGCTCAGTGCACATAAAGTTGAGAAAAAGATGGAGACATCTCAGCCCCGCCTCTCTGGAACAGGAAAGATGATTGGGGAGGGAACACAGATCAGCGTGGGGAAGAGGGTCATGGTGGACATGAGGGTGGGTTGGTCTCCCCTCCTCCACACATTATGCCTACAGGAACACAGACACATTCAGGTGCCTTTGCAGAAAGTCAGGGTTCTTCAAGTCACAAAGGGAAGGTGTGAACAAATCTTGCCTCTCAGTCCCACACAAGGCAGCTGTCTCACACTATAGAAAAAATATTCATGAACAAATTCATATCTGTCCCAGTAATGGATGACACTTTGGCAGCCCATCGCATGCTCAAAACATCAAATTCAAAGAACCCCATAGCACAGCTGTGTCCACTGTTCCCCCCCAACACCCCCCACACATCAGGCCCCCCAAGGTCTCACCTTTCACGCCGTGAGAGACACATCAGAGCCCTGGGCACTGTTGCCGCCTGGAGTAGAATAAAAACAGGACCTGGTCAGATCCCACAGTAGATGTGGCTAGAGGAAGAATTGTGGGGTGGGTGAGCTCCCCCATGGGCTCCCAAACACAATATCCAAAGGATTTCAGGGATCAGCCTCCTTCATACTTACTTGCAGCCTGAGAGTAGCTCCCTCCTTTTCTATCTGTGGGAAGAAAATGTCCTGTGAGATGCCAGAAAGAAGCCAGGGCCATAAGGTCCTAGAGGAACCTCCAAGTCTTGGACCCCAGAGAAGTTTCCAGAAATGTGCAACTGCAGACCCAGGGCGGGATCAGGAAACATGAGGAAAGCAGATGTGGGTCCTGGACCAACCGCCCTTCTGAGGTCTGTCCTCGGGGACCTTCCCCTGTGACTTGTGACTGCTGGGATCAGGTCCCATCACCACAGTCATCAAGGTGATAAATCTGTCCCTCATTGTAACAGGTGCTTTACAAAAGAGTAAGTGCTGGCACACAGGGCCCAGGCTGGGTAGGCCCATGAGTGTGGATGGTGCTTCCCAGTAACCAGGCAGGGCACTTCTACCTGGGGCTTGGAACTCTCAGTGAGACAAGAAATCTCAGACCACACTCCTCACCCCTTCCTTACCTGAGCTCTTCTTCCTCCACATTACAGCAGCGACCACAGCTCCAGTGACCACAGCTACAAGTAGAACCAGGCCAGCAACGATGCCCACGATGGGGATGGTGGGCTGGGAAGATGGCTCTGGGAAAAGGGGGGAAGGTGAGGGACCCTGACCCTGCTAAAGCTCTCCAGAGAGGCTCCGGCTTTCCCTAAGGGACATGACACCCCCATCTCCCTCCTTACCCCATCTCAGGGTGAGGGGCTCTGGCAGACCCTCATGCTGCACATGGCAGGTGTATCTCTGCTCCTCTCCAGAAGGCACCACCACAGCCGCCCACTTCTGGAAGGTTCCATCCCCTGCAGGCCTGGTCTCCATGAGCTCCGTGTGTGGGTCTGGTCCTCCCCATCCCGCTGCCAGGTCAGTGTGATCTCCGCAGGGTAGAAGCCCAGGGCCCAGCACCTCAGGGTGGCCTCATGGTCAGAGATGGGGTGGTGGGTCATATGTGTCTTGGGGGGGTCTGACAGGAAGAGTCAGAAAATTCAGGCATTTTGCATCTGTCATGGGACACTCCACCAGCACGCATGTGGCCATCTTGAGAATGGACAGGACGCCTGGGGTGGGGAAGGGAGCACAGAACCCAGACAACAGCCTGGACACAGGCACCTGGGATAATCTCCTATTCCGTGGAAAATTCTAGTCCCTGAGGAGGGAACAGCGACTTCTGGTCCTGACCTGAGTGGAGGCTGAGGGACTCAGAAGAGCTGGACTCAGACCCCCAGGCACATTGAGTGTGAAGCAGAGAACAAGGCCTGAGAGGAAAAGTCACGGGGCCCAAGGCTGCTGCCAGTGTCAAAGGGAACCACTCATCAGTATTCCAGGGATTGTCTTCCCTTCATTTCCTCAGAGATTTCATCCCTTAATTGTGTCAAAGAGCACGGCGGACCCTCAGAGTCACTCTCTGGAAACCCAGGAGGATTCTTCTCCCTCAGGACCAGAGGGAGGGCGATATTATAGTGTTGGTCCCATTTGTCTCCCTTTCTTGTGGGAGGCCAGCCCCGGAGATCTACAGGCCATCCGGGAGGCGCCCTGTGGCCCCTGGTACCCGCGCGCTGCAGCGTCTCCTTCCCGTTCTCCAGGTATCTGCGGAGCCACTCCACGAACTCGCCCTCCAGGTAGGCTCTCAGCTGCTCCGCCTGACGGGCCGCCTCCCACTTGCGCTTGGTGATCTGAGCTGCCATGTCCGCCGCGGTCCAGGAGCGCAGGTCCTCGTTCAGAGCGATGTAATCCTTGCTGTCGTAGGCGTGCTGTTCATACCCGCGGAGGAAGCGCCCGTCGGGCCCCACGTCGCAGCCATACATCACCTGCATGGTGTGAGAACCTGGCCCCGCCCCCGCGGTCAGCCCGGTCCCCCGAGCCCCGCCCTGCCCCGACCAACCCGCGGGGATTTTGGCCTAAACTGAAAATGAAACCGGGTAAAGGCGCCTGGGCCTCTCCCAGGTCAAGGGTCTCGGGGTCCCGCGGTTTCGGGGAGGATCTCGGACCCAGAGACTCGAGGCGACCCGGCCCTCCGTGGGGGATGGGGAGGGGTCGTGACCTGCGTCCCGGGCCGGGGTCACTCACCGCCCTCGCTCTGGTTGTAGTAGCGGAGCGCGATCCGCAGGTTCTCTCGTTCAGTCTGTGCCTGGGCCTTGCAGATCTGTGTGTTCCGGTCCCAATACTCCGGCCCCTCCCGCTCCATCCACGGCGCCCGCGGCTCCATCCTCTGGCTCGCGGCGTCGCTGTCGAACCGCACGAACTGCGTATCGTCCACGTAGCCGACGGAGATGAAGCGGGGCTCCCCGCGGCCGGGCCGGGACATGGTGGTGTAGAAATACCTCATGGAGTGGGAGCCTGGGAGCGAGGAGGAGCTGAGACCCGCCCGACCCTCCTCCCTGCGCGGCTCCCTGGGTCCTGCGCCCCCGCCGGGCGGGCCCCTCGCTCCTCCCGACCATTTCCCTGCAGACCCTGCACTCACGCGCCCAGGTCTGGGTCAGGGCCAGGGCCCCTGAGAGCAGCAGGAGGAGGGTTCGGGGCGCCATGAGCACCATCCTCGGCGTCTGGGGAGAATCTGAGTCCCGGTGGGTGCGTGGGGACTTTAGAACCGGGACCGCGGCGGCACCGATTGGCTTCTCTAGAAACCCGACACCTAGTGGGAATGAGAACTGTGCCCGCTTCCTGAGTATCCAGGAAAAAGGACCCGTCGCAGGTTGTGAGAAGAAGAGAAACTGCGGAGGTGGCGAATCCCCAAGGCGGGGCCTCCCCAATCCATACACCGCCTTCGGGGCCTGAGACCCTGAGAGCCACGCCTGGGGCCCTGGGACTTCGCCCTGACCCCGCTCCTCCTGTGCCAAGCGCTCTGTCTCAGTGTTTCCCTGAGTCTTGGCCCAGGAGCTGTCTGAGAAACCAGGAAGAAACCCTCGGCATGGGCCCTGTCCCTCTCCCTTCACTTTTCATCCAGGAATCTCCGTCCCTGAACTGGACTCCCTGTCCACCTGGACTCTTCTAGAAGAAAAGTCACCCACGGAGTTTGGTGACAGAGAGTGAGCTTGCTCTGGGAATGGAGGTGTAGAAACTGTTTTTTGTTTTCCTTTTTTTTTTTTTTTTTATTGGGAAAAGTTGTGCCTGAGTGCATGAGACAGAATAGAGACCAGTTTATTTATTTATTTGTTTATTAAATACATTGGATAGCAGAACCTTGGTAACCCCTGAATGATCAGGAATCTAATCGGTAAAAAATGTGACTTTGGCCCCATGATGTATAAATGTGCCCAAAAGCGTTAGAACAGGACTCACAAAGCTTCTAAGTTTCACTTTTGCAGTGTACCTGTGACTCCCGCTTGTCATATTTTAAATTTGCCATCATTCCATAGCTCTGAGTTTCTGTGTGAGTCCAGGATATCTCCTCAATACAAAGTAGCACACTGTGTACTTTGCAACCAGGTACGTTGCAACCAGGAGTCAGTACAGGCTTTATTCACCTCAAAGTTGCAACTGTTCAATGTAGTCGCAATGCCCCTCACTAGTGCTCATGCACTGCCTGTTTTTAGGAAGTATCCACTGCTAAGTGTTGTGTATATTTTATAGGAACACTTAGTAATTTTTAAACCTGATTAACATTAAAAAATTAGTTTTTAGGCAGACCCACATGAGGTATTAAAGGCCAACTGCCAAGGACACCCTGCTAGGCTCTGTAGATGGATGTATTAAAATCCATAAAACAATGTATTTAAACCTAAGAATTCTGCTGCTTTCGAATTCTTTCCTCTGCTCCTTTTCTTCACCTCCTGCTTCTCCAGCCCTTCTCTCCGTCCTTTTCATCCTTCAGGCCCTCCTGTCCCCTTAGTCCCCACCACACTGTCACTTGTGAGTTGTGACACTAGCACTGTCCCATGACCTGTTACGTGACTGTTCTTTTCACAGTGGTCCTGCTCCTGGGAGTCGGAGTGTGTCATCTCTCCACTTAAAACACTCCAGTGTCTCCACCTCGGTCTTGAGAAACTTCTGGAGTGTCAGGCACGTGAGCATATGAGGGGATATCTGGTTTATCGTAGGGACTAAATTAATTTTTGTCGACTGAATGAATGAAATATGAGTGTATTAAATTGCATTACAGATAATTATAAAGTGCAAAACACGGAAAAAGTTCAGAAAATTTTTATTTTATGTAACTAGTGTGCATATCAATTCATCAATTCATTCGTGCACTACCATGCCTGGCGAAACAACACCCATTTATCTGCTTATAGTTCCTTGATCAGAAATCTGGGCAAAATTGTGGATGGAATCTCTCTTCTGGGCTTCCAAAAGCTGTGTTTTCATTTTGAATCCTCCTTCAGGCTTATACAGAGGTGGCAGAATGCAGTTTCTGGCAGTTGTAAGACTGAGGTCCCTGTTCCTTGCTGGCTGTCAATGTAGAGAACAGGGAGGGCTGTGCTCGATTCCTGGTCCTCACCAGCATTCTTTCCTACACAGCCCCTTCATTTTTTATTTTATTTATTTATTTTTTGGAGATGGAGTCTTGCTCTGTAGCCCAGGCTTGGGTGCAGTGGCCGGATCTCGGCTCACTGCCAGCTATGGCTCCCAGGTTCACGCCATTCTCCTGTCTCAGCCTCCCAAGCAGCTGGGACTACAGGCACCCACCACTACGCTTGGCTAATTTTTTTTTTTTTTTTTGTATTCTTAGTAGAGACAGGGTTTCACCATGTTAGCCAGGATGGTCTCGATCTCCTGACCTCATGATCCGCCCGCCTCAGCCTCCCAAAGTGCTGGGATTACAGGCGTGAGGCACCGCACCCGGCCCACAGCCCTTTCATTTTCAAAGCCCATGCTGGAGGAAACCCCTCATGCTGAGTCCCTCTCACACTGTGAGTCTCTATGCTCAGGAAGAACCCAGTCCTTTCAAGGTCTCACCTGATTAGGACAGTCCAAGCAGGATAAACCCAGCCTAAAGTCAACTAATTGAGACCCTTAATTATATCCACTAACTCCCTTCACAGCAGCACCTACATTAGAGTTGATTGAATAACTGGAGGATGGTGAATGACCAGGAGCTGGTTGTTGAGGGCATAATAGAATCAGCCTAGCAAGGGTTGGATCTTCCTTTTGTGTTTACTTCGGACACAGTTGGAAATTGAAGTTCAAGTAAAGTGATCATTGTGAATGGTCATAAAATACATCCTCTTCAGCCATGGAAATTCTCCTTACCTTTTAAAACTAAGTTACATGTTTAATATCTTATAATTAATTTACGCCAGGTATGGTGGCTCACGCCTGCCATCCTAGCACTGTGGAAGGCAGAGGAAGGCAGATTTGTTGACTCCAGAAGTTCAAGATCAGCCTGGGCAAAACCCCCATCTATACAAAAAATTAGAAAATTAGCCAGGCATAGTAGTTCATGATGGTAGTCCCAGCTACTCAGGAGGCTGAGATCAGTGGGTCCCTTGAACCCAGGAGGTCGACACTGCAGTGCATGGTGATCATGCCACTGCACTCCAGCCTGGGTGACAGAGCGAGACCATGTCTCAAAAATAATAATGATGACGATGATACATTTAAAGCAAATGCAATTTAATGTGTAATAATACATCCTCTCTTGTGAAAATGTGTTATTTATTTACTATTGCATAACAAATTATGTAAAACTTAGCTTAAAACAACAAATATTCCTCATCTGCCACAGTTTCCAATGGTCAGGAGTCCAGGAGAGGTTTCCCTGAGTGCTTCTTGCTCGGGGCCTCTCACAAGGTTGCAGTCCAATTGTCAGCCAAGGGCTGCATCATCTGAGGGCTTCACTGGGGCTGAGGATTCACATGAAACATGGATCAGTCACATGGCTGTTGGAAAAGGCCTAGTTCTTTGTTGTCTGGTCCCGGAAGGCCTCAGTTCTCAGCCACATGGACCTTCCTGCAGGGCTGCTTGTGGCACAGCAGCTGGCTTCCCCCAGAGCTCATGATCCCAGAGACAGAGAGAGAGAAGGTGGAAGCCGCAGTGAGTTTTAGGTTCTACACCCAGAGTTACAAACCATTATGTCAGCATTATTCTATAAGTTAGAAGTTATATTAGTCCATTCTCACACTGCTATGAAGAAATACCTGAGACTGGGTAATTTATAAAGGAAAGAGGTTTAATTGACTCACAGTTCTGCATGGCTGAGGAGCCTGCCCCAGGAAACTTACAGTCATGGCAGAAGTGGAAGCAAACACATCCTTCTTCACATGATGACAGGAGAGAGAAGTGCAGAATGAAGCAGGGAAAAGCCCCTTATAAAACCATCAGATCTCATGAGAATTCCCTCAGTATCACGAGAACAGCATGGGGGCACCGCCCCCATTATCCAATCACCTCCCATGTGGTCCCTCCCCCAATAGGTAGCGATTACAATTCGCATAACAATTCAAGATGAGATTTGGGTGGGAACACAGAACCAGGCCATATCAGAAGTGCCTCATTAAGTCCAAGCCACACTCAGGAGAGGGAATTAAGATGCACCTCTGGAAGGGAACAGTATCAAATGTTTTGAATATATGTTAAAAGCAAAATTATAACTATTGTTTCAGGTTTTTGAAAATCAAAGACTTCTTTTATCTAATTATTTTTCATTAACTCTTTCAGCTTGTCTTTTTCTTTAAGCTTGTCTTTTAATTTAATTTTTTTTAAGTTCCAGGGTACACGTGCAGGATGTGCAGGTTTGTTACATAGGTAAACATGTGCCATGTTGGTTTGCTGCACCTGTCAACTCATCACCTAGGTATTAACCCTGGCATGCATTAGCTATTTTTGCTAATGATCCTCCCACCACCACCCTGCCCCAATAGGCCCCAGTGTGTGTTGTTCCTCTCCCTGTGTCCATGTGTTCTCATTACTCAGTTCCCAATTATAAATGAGAACATGTGGTGTTTGGTTTTCCGTTCCTGTGTGAGTTTGCTGAGGATAATGGCTTCCAGCTTCATCCATATCCCTGCAAAGGACTTGATCTCATTCCTTTTTATGGCTGCATAATATTCCATGGTGTATATGTACCACATTTTCTTTATCCAGTTCATCATTGATGGGCATTTGGGTTGATTCCATGTGTTTGCTATTGTGAATAGTGCTGCCATGAATGTAAACATGCATGTATCTTTATAATAGAATGATTTGTATTCCTTTGGGTATATACCCTGTAATGCGATTGCTGGATCAAATGGTATTTCTGATTCTAAATCTCTGAGGAATCACCACACTGTCACTGTCTTCCACAATGGATTAACCGATTGACTTTTCCACCAACAGTGTAAAAGCATTCCTATTTCTCTGCAACCTCGCCAGCATCTGTTGTTTCTTGACTTTTTAATAATTGCCATTCTGACTGACATGAGATGGTATCTCATTTGTGGTTTTGATTTGCATTTCTCCAATGATCAGCGATGTTGAGCTTTTTTTCATATTTTTGTTGGCCACATGTATGTCTTCTTTAGAAGTGTCTGTTCAAGTTCTTTGTCTACTTTTTAATGAAGTTTTTTTTTCATGTAAATTTGCTTAAGTTCTTTGTGGATTCTGAATACTAGACTTTTGTCAGATGGATAGACTGCAAAATTTTTCTCCCATTCTGTAGGATGTCTGTTCACTGTGATTGATGATAGTTTCTTTTGCTGTGCAGAAAAAAATGCCTAATCAAATTGCTTTTCATTTACAAAAATGTGAATCTCATACTTCAGTAAACTTTATTTTACTTTAGTAAAAATTATTAGCATGATGCCAATAATTTTGGCTTGATGCTATAGCCCGAAATGGTTAGTTCTAATTGAGAAACAAGTTTTTTTCAAAAACTGGCTATTTGATGGGCATTCTATAATAAACTTAACATCTTTTGTTGTGGTATTGAATGAGATGTGATAGAAGTGATTTGGACACCACTATGATTCTAAATAGCGCTGCTATTACATGCTTCTGAATTTTTTTTTCTTTTTAGCAGTCCTATTCTGTTTTCCATTCATATTTGCTATTCCATCACTGGGTATTCCTCCCTACTCTTTTCATGTTTCATTTATTTTGATCAATGATGTGCATTTCCAATCTGTAAAAGTTTATTTCAGTTTAATGTGTGGTAAAATGTAACATCAAATCTTTGGAAGATGAAATTATCTTGCACAGCAGATTGAACATTGTATCATTGAAAATCTAGAGAGATGCCAGGGAGCCAAGGATCAAATGACCTATTTGTAGCCAATGCCATTTTCATGGCATCCTGGTCCTCTCTGTCACATGGCTCCTTACAATTCTCTGTGGTTTTCTTCCAATGTAAGTAGTTCTTGTTAAGAATCTTTGCAATGAACTTTGAAATTCTTTTCTTTTTCATTTCTATAAAAAACAGGTATATTTTAATTTGGAAAACTCTGTTTAAGGAATTATAATCAAGTATCTACGAGGGTGCCCAGCGCTGGTGTAAAACACAAACCTGTAAAGCTACCCTGGGCTGCTACCCAGTCACCCCCTAGAAGGAGACCGTTGGGAGCAAGTCCCCCAAAATCTGGCCATAAACTGGCCCCAAGACTGGCCATAAACAAAATCTCTGCAGCACCGTAACATGTTCATAATGGCCCTAATGTCCAAGCTGGAAGGTTGCAGGTTTACAAGAATGAGGGAAAGGAACACCTGGCCTGCCCAGGGCGGAAAACCGCTTAAAGGCATTCTTAAGCCACAAACAATAGCATGAGCGATCTGTGTCTTAAGGGTGTGTTCCTGCTGCAGTTAACTAGCCCAACCTATTCCTTTAATTCAGCCCATCCCTTTGCTTCCTATAAGGGATACTTTTAGTTAATTTAATACCTATAGAAACAACACTAATGACCGGTTTGCTGTTAATAAATATGTGGGTAAATATCTGTTTGGGGCTCTCAGCTCTGAAGACTGTGAGACCCCCGATTTCCCACTTCACACCTCTATATTTCTGTGTGTGTGTCTTTAAGTCCTCTAGCACCACTGGGTTAGGGTCTTCCTGACCGAGCTGGTCTCGGCAGGAGACTCCATCCTGAGTCTTCTGATACGTATTCCTTTGTATTCCTTCAAAGATTTGTGCAATAAGTGTATATTATATATATATATCTATATCTATATCTATATCTATATCTATATCTATATCTATATCTATATATATATATATATATATATATATATATCTCCCCAAAACAAACCTCAGTTAGTTTTGCTGGTTTTTAAGCTTCCTGTACAGCAAATTCCTACTGCATGTATTTTCCCATGATACACATTATGTGTAGGAGTTATCTGTGGTGTGGGAGGCTGTCATTCATTCATTTTTACGCTGAAGGCTTACATATCGTTTTACCACAATTTCACCGGTTTCCTATTGATGTACATGTGGCCGATTCCAGTTTTTGCCATAAATATTAGTGTGCATGTCTCCTGTGCACATAGGCAAGAAAGCCCCAAAGCCCCCAGAGTGGATGATTAGGAATGGGTTGGTTGCATGATACATTGTATGGACTTTAACCATACTAGATAATGATAATATGATTTCCAAAGTAATTGTGGCTACTTAAACTTTTACAATAAATGTGTAATACTTGATGTTGATGATGTGTTCTGAAAACACTGAGTTGAAGGAATTGTGTTAAAAGTCACCGTCTTGGTGGTAGAATTATAGCAAGCATTTTTATTCTGTTAATAACTTCCTGTTGTTTACTTGTTTCTCATATAAAAGACATTATGCTTTTGACATATAGATTCAGAAAATGCTTACTTACAGCCCAATCACATAGGGTTATTTTATATTTTAGGAAAATTTTATAATAAAAAGGAAAAAATGGAGGAAGGGAGGGAAAGAAGGAGGAATGGAGGAAAAAGTGAAAGAAGAAAAGAAGGAAGGGGAAGGGGAAGGAAAGGGAGCAAGAAGGAGGGAAGGTGATAGGTTGAATGGAAATAGAGAAGAAAGAGAGGGAGGGAGGGTTAGAAGGAAGGAGAAAGGGAAGGAAGAGGCCAGGTGTGGTGGCTCATGCCTGCAATCCCAGCACTTTGGGAGGCTGAGGCAGGCAGATCATGAGGTCAGGAGATAGAGACTTTCCTGGCTAACATGGTGAAACCCCGTCTCTACTGAAAATACAAAAAAATTAGCTGGGCGTGGTGGCAGGTGCCTGTAGTCCCAGCTACTTGGGAAGCTGAATCAGGAGAATGGCATGAACCCAGGAGGCAGAGCTTGCAGTGAGCTGAGATTGAGCCACTGCACTTTAGCCTGGGCAAGAGAGTGAGACTCCATCTCAAAAAAAAAAAAAAAAAAAGGGAAGGAATAAAGGAGAAAAGAAACTAAAATAAAGAAAAGAATAGGTGTTGAGAAACTAGAAACCCTATGTGTGGCTAATATTATCAAAATAGGAGAAAATAAAAGAGATGTAGTTAACTTCTATAGAATAATGGAAATGTAAGAGGGCTTCATTAGTTATCCATTGCTGTGTAACAAACTACCCCCAAATTTAGTGATTAAACAATAAACATTGAGGAACTCAAAAGCATACTACAAATACCAGCAAAATGGAGCCAATGCAGGTAGAAGTTGAATAAACAAAAAGATTTTACACATTGGAATAAGTAAGAGATCACTAGTGGGCAGATGAAAATGATTTTATAGTCCAAATGCTCCAAAAAGCAAGTTCCATCATGGGATTAAAGTTATAGCATTTTATTAGGGGACACACCTGTCAGGTGATATGGCAAGGGAGGTAGGTTACCCTGGGAAAGGCAACAAGATGCAAAGGTGATCCCCAGTGATGGACAGAAGGAGACAAGGTTTACTGGATGTGCCGTAGACCACAGGCAATCTAAGGAGAGTTAAGCAAGGCCATGGAGGAGTCCTTGAGCTACAGTTGGCCATCAGAGGAGTCCCTGGTCTCCCAGGAATGTCCTGCTTTCGTGTCACTGGTGTGATCTGTCACTGGTTGGGAACAGCCCATTGGAAGCAGGACCTCAGCACCAATGCTACTGAGGATGTCAGAGCACAGGAGCAGGGCCTTGGGAGATTACCCAGCATTACTCAAACCTTCTGCCCTGACGGGTCTGGGTCCTTGGAAATCAAGCTGTCTCAGGCTGAATTGCTGGATGATTCTGCTCACACTTACAATGAGGTAAGGGAAACCAGAAGGCCCCCAGGTGGATCTCTGGTTTCCACACACACTTCCGCCCTCATTGTGTGAAAGTAGCCATGCCTTCTCCTGAAGATGAGGATCTGTTACCTGGGCCTGGAGAGGAGGAGAATCCTCTTTTCACCAGGTGGTCTCTGGGCACAAACTATCAAAACTTCTCTCGTGACAACCATAATGTGTAGTTCAGTGGGCTGTCTTTTGTCTCCTTTTAAGGGTACCCTCCTTGGAAACCAGGACCTCGTACCCTGCACAGCCCAGTGTTGGAAGATAAAACGTGCAAAATACCCCATTGGGTGAATCTAAGGGATTGGACGTGGAGCCAAACCTGCTTCCATCTTTTGATCCCTGGACACACATGTTCTTCCTATTGAGAACACAGCACTCTAGAGACATCTCTGATTCAAACAATGCACCGTGTCCTAAAAGATGGCACCCACCTCTCAGAGTGCTTCCTCCAGGCTGGCACTGAGTTTTGCCTGTAGAAGACCTGTCCAGCATTCCTTGTGGCTGGCAGCCTCTGGATGGTGCAGATGGTGATAGGATTAGTGGAACCCACAGCCATGGAAACACTGAAACTTTCCCAGCCAAGTGGGTCCTTCAGGCAGATAATGGGCTAGGAGCACCGCCTAGCCTGCAGATCAGGAATGTCAACAGCACCCGGAGAGGTGCTGGCTGAGTTTCTGAGAGCAGGACATGAAAACACCCATGGAATAGGAGCCTATCCCTGTGAAGATGAACCTCTGGCCCTTCCAGGATGGAAGTAGCTAAATGTAGTCAACTTGTTACTTAGTGGCTAGTTAGTCACCTAAAGAAATAGTGCCCCACTGGGGCACATCATGGGCCTCAATTGCTAATGAGTTGGACATTCAGAGGTGTCGGCAGCTGGATCTGCCTTGGTAGGGGGGAGTCAGTGCTGTTGGCCCCATACGTAGCCTCATGCCTGCCACTGTGGTTGCTCCATTCATGAACTCATCCTACCAAACCAGGGCTGACCCATGGTGAAGGCTGGCTAACTTCCATTTGTCTGTTTGGTTGTTCAGTGCCACTTCAGACTTGGGTATTTTCTCTGGGTGTAAACATGGGATTCAAGCTCAACCCAGGTGGACCATTTTCACCTCACGATGGATGCTGTTGGGCCTGTCTAATCTATGACTCTGTGGGTCACACAGGCACTCGAACCACATAGTTGCTTGGTGTCCCGTGGTCAAGCATTCTATCTAATCAGGACAAGGGACACTAAAAGTTGCTTCTAATAGGTGGCATATGTCTCTGCTGTGAATGACATGACCTTACTCCAGAATCCCAGGCCTTTCACTGTGACTTTCCCACTGGTGCTTGGTTCAGCTCCATCCTGCATCTTTCCCTACCAATGGCATCACCAGCACCAGGGGGTCTGAGAGATGGTGGCTGCTCGCACCATGGCCTGGATCTGCTGCAGGGTCCTTTTCTGTGTGGGCCCTACTTGAAGCTGGCCTCCTCCTATGTCACCTAGAGTGTGGGCCAAAGCAACATACCTAGATGTGGAAAGTGGTGTTGTCAGAACTGGAAGAGGCTCATCAGGCAGTGTGCTTCCTTCTTTCTGGTGAGGATGCAAGATGAAACAGTTTGTCTGTTACCTTGGAGGGGACACACCTGCATTCCCCTAAACACTTGGCCATTGTTCACCCATAAAACTTTACTTCAATGCCCACTATCTTTTTCTTTTTGAGATGGAATTTTGCTCTTGTTGCCCACTCTGGAGTGCAATGGCACGATCTTGGCTCACTGCAATCTCTGCCTCCTGGGTTCAAGTGATTCTCCTGCCTCAGCCTCCCAAGTAGCTGGGATTACCAGCATGGGCCACCATGCCTGGATAATTTTGTATTTTTAGTAGAGATGGGGTTTCTCCGTGTTGGTCAGGCTAGTCTCCAACTCCCAACCTCAGGTGATCCATCCACCTCAGCCTTCCAAAGTGCTGGGATTACAGGCGTGAGCCACTGCACCTGGCCGAGTGGCCACTCTGGAAGCTTTGTAAGGTTTATCTTCACCTTCTGGAGTGCCCGTGTTTTGCCAAGCACTACAGTGCACTTTCTACCTGCTGCTCATCCAGCCAGGTCAACAGGAAGTTGTCAATGATATGAGCTGATTTAATATCCTATTGGATATCCAGTATGTTTAGTATAGTCTTAAGACTATACTATAGAGGTCAGGGGAGTTACAATAGCCCTGAGACAAATGATAAATCAATGTTTTGAGGATCCCACATGAATGTGAATCACTCCATATCCACTTTCTAATTGGAGTGGAAAGAAATGCAGTCACCAAATCCACAGCTGCATGCTCTGTGTCCAAGGGTTTATTAATCTGCTCTACCAGTGATATCCAGACAGCACAAAAGCTGCAATTATAACTCCTACTTGGCCAGACCTGGAGTAATCTAGTTCATTCTTTAGGCTTCATCAGGCTTCTTCAGGGACAGGTTGCTGGATTACGTAGAGACAATAGACAGCCCCAACACCATCCCACATCCTTCAGCTCTGTAATGGTGATGTGATCCCCACAATACTTGAAGTATCTTACACAAGACCCACCCTGGGACACACTATGATTTTTGATTTGGCCAGGATGGGGGCAGTGTCAGAGGTTTCCCTTTGGCTTTCAGCACAATGAAAGTCCTTACTCCACAGACTAGGGACCCAGGGTGGGGGTAACTCCACTTAGCAGTGCATCAGTGTCAATTGTGCACTCAGGGTATAGGAAGATAACCAGGGCTGGGTCTATGGATCCAGTAGTTCCATTGTGGGCCATAATGTGTCCAGGTTTACTCCCTGAGCTCCATAAGCCCCACTGTGATGAGAGACATGATAGTGCTGTGGGCATCTGAGCATCAATGTCAGTTCACACCCAGTGTCAATAATCCCCCCAGTTCTGCCTGTTTCCTTTCCCCAGTGTACAATCTCCTGAGTAAATGGCTATATGGTCCTTTGCCGAAGGACTGAGGGAATTGTCCCAGCATATACTTCCACGGGGTTGCAGAGTATTCCGCCTAGAGATATGGACTCTTCCTCTGTCACTGAGATCTGAATCTGCATCTTGGCTGAGGTCTAGGCATTGAGGATGGGATCATGATTTTGTATTGAGTCAAACACCTTCACCCTCCTGCTTCTCAATTCTTGCTTTCTTATCATAGATATCAACCAGCTGCCTGTCCTAACCCTGGGACACCACCCTCTATTATACTTCCCCACATTCCCTGCAGCTTGAGTCCTCTTGGCTTCTCCTCCGAGGTTGCCATAGTAACCGTGCCCTCTGGCTTTTGCAAGTCACTGCCACCACTTGGTCTTTGTCTCTTCAGGGCCACACTCTCCCCAGTGATATTAGAAATGAAACTCTGGGACTATCTTTACTACCATCACCCCCAGCCTACAAAGGACAATACCCTGACACTTCTTAGTGATGCAGGTCCCTCTCACCATCAAGTTCCTGAGGCTCTGGTGGAAGGTGTGTCCTCTGGGCCCTCTTGTAGAGCATGGTTTTGGTAGGCCTTCACCAAGCCCACTCCCCTCAGCTTGTTATTCCATCCTCTACATGTTCCAGGGCAACTAAGACATGTCTACCTTGTTGAGAGTTGGGCATGTTTTTTTCTAGACTATGTGGATACACCCCAGCAGTGGGTTTACTCCACTTATCAAAGTCCTGGAGTGTTTGATAAATCCATGCCCTGAGAAAGTGTCTTCAAGCCAAAGGATTATATTCATCCAGCCTGAAATTCTGGTTCCTTGATCAAACACCCTCAAATTCCAATCCCAGAAGTAGTCCCTGGGCTCCTATGGGGACGTGCTGGCTAGTTCCTGCAAACCTCCTGAGTGGGATTCCCGCGGCATCATAGGGGTGAGGATTGTGTAGCATCTTCCAGCAGTGAAAGTGGGAACCATTACTAGAGAAGGGTGAGCCTCCTCTGCATGCCCAGAAGATCCTGGAGGGCACGCATCGCATAATCCTGTTCCAGTTTGCAGAATCTCAGGTTTCCCCACCAAAGCCCTGACTTTCCTGTAACAGGCCTGCCTTGGCTGAGTGTCAAACATCTCTGGAGCACTGTGGCCCTCATAGTGATGTAGAGCTAACATTCCTTGCTATCTGCCCTTTTGCTACAGGAGATAAAGACCTGTCCATGAGACACTGCCGAGGGTGTCAAATGTAGCCAGTCATAGCTGTCAACAATCCGCAGATTCTCATTATCTTTTTACACAGCATCGATGCAGCTGAGAAGTAACTAGCCAAAGCCACTGTCTTTGTAGGTTTCTTCCAACCCTGTCCTTATTATGCAGGGCATTCTATCACTGCATGTGCCATAGCACTCCCTAACCAAGGCAACTTCTCAGCTCAGCACTGGTGAGACCCCCAGCTGCTCAGCTGCACCTTGTGCCATGGACTTTCTGTGTCTGCCACCAACCCGGGTGGCATCCTCTTGGCCTGCCAGGCAGTGGGAAGCTTATTTCAAATTCCCATTTTTGCCTGTTTTCATGGATCACCCTTCATGCCACTTGTGTTAGTTAGGGTCCCCTGAGAAGCGGACCCCAATACAGTAGTAAACATGTAAGGATTTATTAGGGGAAATACTTGTGAGAGAAATTCATGAGACAGAAAATGCTGGGAAAGCCACTGGACCACAAAGCAACTCTGAGCCTCAGTGATGTAGAGAGTGCAGGAAGGTCAGCTGGAAGCATCCTAGACCCTGTGCAGGCTAAGGGAAGTTCAGTAAGGGTGGCAGGGAGCCCTGGAGCTTCAGTCAGCCTTCAGAAGAGGAATGTCCTGCCTTAGTTTCTGCCCTACTTTCCTCAATCATTGGCTGGAAAAAGCCAGGGGTGGGCATAGTCTCAGAGCAAATGTGGCAATAGATTTCAGACTTCAAGAGCTGGGGCCATCATCAATTCTGCTTCTTCTAGATGAGGGGCTGGGATGTGCATTCTCATGACTGCCACAATGATCCAGTGGGGAGAGAGGAAAAAGGTTGACGATAAAGATAAAAATGGTATTAATTGATGAACTGACACCTTTAAGTAGATGATAAGGGATGGCAATTGGGGCACCAGAAGAGGGTCTGGCTCTGGCTGGGAGCAGAAGGGTTAACCCACAACAGTCCCTCACATGGTAAAACGCCTGACATGTGGTGCAGCTGCAAATGCATGAGCAGACAGTGGTGGAATCTGTGAAGTTGTCTTCTAATGTGTTCAGTTTTCTCAGTGAAGTGGGAAGCAAGGTCATCAGCTGAAGTAAGAATGGGGAAGGCAGGTTGGATGTGTGAGCACAAAGAAAAGGTGTGTAAGAGTCACCCAGGCCAGGAGGAGGCTGAGGGTGAGCCATGCAGGGAGAGGGTGATTGCTGGCCATGGTAGGGACTTCCTATGTGGTTTGGAATCCTAAATTTTAAGAGACCAGTCAGCGTACTGTGTGCTGCTCTCCAGCCTCCTGCAGCTCATGGGGGCAGGCTCAGCATAGGCAGAGGTGGAACCCACCAGCTGTGTAGTTTTGCCAGGTGAGTGTGACAATTCAAGGGAGAGGGAAGGGAGGGATGGAAATTATTTACCATAGAATTCAAAATGGGTGAGGAGGGAGGACAGGACACCCAGGGTGAGGGACAGTGAGTAGATGGCAGGATCACTGGATTGGGAATCCCAGGAGGGTGGAACGATTGTTGGAATTGATGTACTACAGGGTAGACTCCAAGCGTGGAAAGCAAGCACATATGCAATGAGTGGTCCACTGATATTACATCACAGCATATGATAAAATGATAGTATCTGTGTCCTCAGAGCCTGTGGCCACCTTGCAAGGGGATGAGTGGAAAGATGGTCAGAGAGTGGGTAGTGTGAGATAGAGAGTATGGAAGGGCTGGGGTTCTTAGCCATGATGAGGCCTAGGGGATAACAAGGGCATGAGATTCAGGCAGACAGGAGAAGATCATGGAGGAGAGGAGTTCCAGGATCTGAGAGGCCAGGAAGCGAGGGCATCTTCTCTGCTGTGTGGGTGTCTATTGCTGCCATAAAAATTACCACAAACCAAATGGCTTTAAACAGCACCTATGTATCATGGCACAGTCGTGTGGATTGCAAGTCCACCCAGTCTCATGGGGCTAAGATCAACATACGGGAAGGTCTGCATTCCTTTCCATAGACTCTGGGGAAGAATCCACTTCCAAGCTCATTCAGGTTCTTGCCTGAATTCACTTCCTTGCAGATAGAAAAGAGGTTTCCACTTCCTTGTTAAGAGCCACCCTTAGCTCCTAGAGCCTTCTCTCAGATACTCACACACGGTGCCTAAGGCACATTCAATCCTCCTGCTTGGAACTTCTGACCTCTCCTCTCCAGCTTCTCCTCTGCCTTCCTCCTCTGCAGAATCTGACTCCAACCAGGGCAGGCTCTCTGCTTTTAATGGCTCTTGTGATTTGATTGGGCCCACACAGAGAGTCCAGCAGAATCTCCCTATTTTAAGGTCCTTAATCTTCATTACATGAGTAATATCCCTTTTGCCACGCAATGCAACCTGTTCACAGGTTCCAACGATTAAGACTGGACATCTTTGGGGACCATTACTCAGCCCACCACATCTGCGTATGTTGAAGTCACCAAGAGTCAAGGAGACAGCAATGCTGGAGAGGGTGACAGTGAACCAGGAGCTACAAGACTCAGGATTGAGAAGAACAGCCTGGGGCCCACAGGGAATGGTTACAGTGAGGCAAATGGGGCTCTAATCTGATGACAGCCTAGGGGTTTTAGGGAGGAGGGAGGCAGAAAGTTCTGAGAACCACAATGAGGAGCAAGGACCCCACCTCACCTCTGAACCCAGGGGTACAAGTCCCTGGGGAAACTCCCCCATGTGGGAGGACTTCGGAGGGGGTCATGTCCTCAGGGAGACCCAGGTTGCTGCTGGAGCTGTGAGATGCAGGAACATCCTGAGAGAGGCTGAGGAGGTTTTGCTGATGTGGACTGAGAAATCCAGGGGGTGCACTGGGAAGATTTCTGTGGCTGGGGAGGTCGGGGAGACAGAATAGAGGTGTGCAGAGCCTTGTGGGGATGCAAGTGCAGAGTATGTGGGGGACCCAGTGTGACTGACACAAACAGGGACAGAGCATGATGAGCTCAGTCCAGGTGCACTCCAGGCCGACGATGGTGCTGAGCCTGTGGGGGATGCGGGAGGAGGAGCAGGGGTGGCTTTCACCTGGGCTCTGTCCATGGAGGTGAGGACAGTGAGGTGGTTGGGTCTTAGTGCTGTGGGGAACTTTTCTTGACCTCCTGATGACTGGATGGAGTGTCTGAGGGAGGAAGGGTCTTACAGGATTGACTCATGACCCTGAGGGATGTGCTCACTCCAGGTCTCAGGTCTGTCCTGACACCTTTATTTGTGGCTTAGAGCTCCCTACTGTAAATTATTGGGAGTTAGTTCATTTTGGAGTTTATAACTTAAAGCAGAAATTCAGATGGTTGAAATGTCATTTTCATGAAGGTTTGTTATTAGTGTATCATTTAGATTGTTTTGCAACAGTCTCATTTTTTTTCTAAAGGGTTGCCAATCTTGTTTTAAATTTACAAAGGTTGTTAATTTATCTTCACTGTTAATTGGTTGTGGGTTGTTTAAACTTATACTGTGTAGTTTTACATATCTGTAACAGCAGTAGTTTGGGCCTCTTATATTCTAATAATTAAGACTTTCAGCTGAGTACACACTGTAATTCAAGCACGAGTCATGCATAACCCTAGCACTAAGAGACAAGAGGGGAATCCCTCTCTCTGAAAATTTTGCAAAATTCTGGGTTCTTTTTCCACTGAGTGGGCACAAGTCGGCTAATCATGAACATGAGGTATTTGTCCTCATTTAAAGGTGCTTCAGAAGCACTGACCCCTAGGAAGGCCTCCTTGTCTGGGTCAGGCACCCTACACCATGGCAGAGGCCATCTTCCCTCCCAGTGTACAGTGATATCCCAGATAGCTTACTGGTTAGCTGCTGTCCACTCTTGGGCAGTTTTGTCTTCTAAAACATGGGTTTTTATCTGAGAATCTTCCTGTTCCCAGATGATCAAAACTGGGGCCATCCATTCCATTCTGAGCCACTTCTGCCCAGGGGCCCATTGCTATTTCCTCCAGTCACAACAGAACACCCCTTCAGAACAGCCTGCAGGAAGGCCCCGTCTCCTCACAGGCTCACACATGCACGGTGTGTGCACAGAGCTTTTGCTCTAGTTCAGGAGGTGTGTGGGGAGCCTCACTAGTCCAACAGAGCTTGGTACCAGTGTCATATGCCAGGAACCAAGGTTATAAGGGATACAATGTCCCCAGACCTACCAGAGAAGGCAAACTCATACAGCTTGCAGGACCAGACAAGGACAAGAACAAGTTCAAAAGAGGGAAAGGGAAATTATAGACATACCTCAGAGATACTGCAGATTTGGTTTCAGGCCATGGCAACAAACAAGTCACACAAATTTTTGTTTTTCCAGTACATATAAAAGTTATATTCACACTCTACTGTAGCCTAGTAAGTGTACAATAGCATTATGTATGAAAGAACTATGTACATACCTTAATTTAAAATTACTCTATTGCTAAAAAATGCTAACGGTCGTCTGAGGCTTCAGCTAATTTTAATCTTTTTGCTGGAGGAGGGTCTTGCCTCAATGTTGATGACTACCGGCTGTTCAAGAGGGTGGTTGCTAAAGGCTGCTGTGGCAATTTCTTAAAATAAGACAATGAAGTTTATGGCATGGATTATAAAGGGGGAATCAGTACTTAAGTAAGGTCAATATGAGTTTTCAAGTCAGGTGGACTTGAATATGAACCCTCCAGGCCTTTCCACCAACTAGCTATAGAGCCTTGGGCACATCTGGCCCAGAGCTGGCCCCGACAGACACTTGCCCAGTGGGTGAGTGCTCAATGAACCCATCTGAGCCAATTGTCTCATCCAACCAGTGATATAATTCCTTCCTTGCAGAAGAATAAGTGAGAAAAGACACAGTGCCAAGAAATTCAGACACAAGACCTGCGGAAGTCTGCGCCAGTGCTCTAAAGCAAGTTCTGCCTAAAGCGGCAGAAACATTTTTCACATTAGGAACAGGAGTTGTTTGGGATCCTGTCTGGGGCCAGGTTGAGAGCAGAGTGGGAGTGGGGGCCTGGGCAGGACCAGGCACTGGAGTGAAGACAGGCCTGGAGAGAGCTGACTCCTGGAGGCTGCTGAGCGGCTCAGACAGCTCCTTGCCTCACCTGCCACAGTCCTCCCTCTCCCCTGGCCTCCAAGTACCCGGGAGTGCGAGCCTGGGCCCCGGGAACCGGCACCTTGAGGGCTGGAGAGGGACCCCGCCCGCTCCCTGTCTCCCTGACGCGCTCTCTCCGCCTCCCCGCGGGTACCCAGCCTCCCGGGCTCCCTCCTGCCTACCGCCCGGCCCTGGAGCCGCTTACCTGGGAGCTTCTTACGGTGTAGGGGGAGCTGGGGAGGGGACAGAGGGACAGGGACCACGGGAGGGTGGCGTGGGGCGGCGTACTTGGAGATATGACCTGAGGAGTCTGCAGACCCCAGACCGGGGCAGAAGAGCCGTGGGAGGAGCTGCTGAGCTCTCCAGGCCGCCCTTTACCTCCTGCCTCCCCAGCCCAGTTCATCTTGATCCTCTCCTCACTAGCCCAGGTCTCCCCAAGGTCAGGGCTCATAGAGCAGCAGGAGTTGGGTTCCGGGACGCGGGATCCGGCTTCTCTGGGAATCTTGGATTCCAGGAAGGATCCTGGAGATCTCCCACTTTATGAAGCCCAATCTCCACTCACTGTGATGGCGTCTTTAGACCCCACTGGAAACCAGATACGACGCCCTCATCGGCCCTGGGGAAAAAACAAGAGCAAAGTATGAGAGGTGGCCATGAGGTCAGGGAAACTCCTGCAGAATTCTCAGGAAAGGAAACTCTTC
Source organism: Homo sapiens (assembly GCF_000001405.40). Taxonomy (NCBI): domain Eukaryota; kingdom Metazoa; phylum Chordata; class Mammalia; order Primates; family Hominidae; genus Homo; species Homo sapiens. The sequence goes on along the minus strand of NT_167247.2, from coordinate 1,126,090 downwards.
CGAGCTGGGCCCTTGGCTTAGTTTGTCTTCCCTGCCCAGCCACCTGTCCCAGAGCTGGAGACGCCCAGGTTTAAGCCAGAGATTTTGGATACTTTCCTTGATGGTGACATAATTTTTGTCTTCTCTCCTGGAAGAGAAGCCCCAGAACCATCAGAGTGATCCAGTCTGCCCACTCTTCTTATTATTCTGTCTCTCCAATCACTCTCCCTGAGCTGGACTCTCCACCCACCCTCACATTCTGGATAGTGCAGAGATGTGAGCATGGCCCTGGGGCAGGATTGTCTGCGTGCAAGCCCAGCTCCACCACGACTTGTAGGCGACCTTCTTTCCTATTGTATCACCTGAAAACGGAAAATTAGCAGGCACACCCCATAGATGTATCGTGACAATTAAATGAATTCATATTTTGAAAGTGCTAAGGACACGGATTAACACATAGCACCATGACAGTGTATGATATTATCGCTGTTGGTTTTTTTTTTTTTTTTTTTTTTTTTAGATGGAGTTTTGCTCTCGTTGCCCATGCTGGAGTGCAGTGGCACCATCTCGGCTCACTGCAACCTCCACCTCCTGAGTTCAAGCGATTCTCCTGCCTCAGCCTCCAGAGTAGCTGGGATTACAGGCGCCCGCTACTACACCCAGCTAATTTTTTGTATTTTTAGTAGAAACGGAGTTTCCCCATGTTGGGCAGTCTGGTCTTGAACACCTGACCTCAGGTGATCCACCCTCTCCGGCCTCCCAAAGTGCTGGGATTACAGGTGTGAGCCACCATGCCCCGCCGTTGTTGCTATTTCTTTCATCCTTTTTGCTTGAGCCTCTTCTCTTCTTTCTAGGTTCCCAGGGAAATTCTCTGTTGGAAGATTATGCCTGCAAGAGGCCTCCACCTGGGAAATGCTGGCCCATGGGGGGATCTCCCTTTTATTAAATGGAATGATTGTTGGTGAAGTGACAGCTAGTGAGCCAGTGACAGTACGGTTCATGTAAAAAAGACCACATACCTAGGATTACCTCCATTTTAATAAAGACACATCCCACACATTATAAGTCCAATGTGATTTGTGAGGAGATTGCTTTGATTTGCTCACGAAAAATATTACTCTACTTTCTTTGAGAGAGTTTTGCAACACATTTCAAATCTCTGCTTCTCATTTCACACTATCTGGCTCATGAGTGAAGGTGATAAGTGTCGTACTATGCTCTCAGGTTTGTCTGTCAGAGTCATAGTCATGTATTACACATAAAGATTATTTTCTTGTTATCATTTATTTATATATATTATACTCATGGGATATAGATAGATATTATTACAGTGCTTAAATGGCTACTACTGATATCTATACATTTTCTCTCTTGGTATATGATATTAACACATAGAATTGTATACTGTTACTTTGGTTTCCAGCAATTGCTGATTAGGTCATTTGGACCACTTCTCCCATTGAGTACAACTGGAAAAATGGGAGGAAAATACATATTTGAAAAGTCTGGTTGAATTTATAGATGGGCTAGCAAAGCAGTGAAGATTTGCTTGGCCAGGAACCAGGAAGAGGCAGAAATCCAGAAGAGCATCTTGAGCTATGGGGCTGCTTTTTTGGATCAGATGCAGTGACACCTGCCTCCCAGGCAAGAAGCCAACTTCTGGGATTCAGAACTAAAGTGTCCCAATATTTAGAAGGTCTCTTGGTCTCTCTAGAGTTCAGTGCTCATTGGCCAGGGCTATGATACTCACACTCATTCCTTGGAGGAGCCAAGCTTCGGGTTTGGCTGCCTCTGGGACATTTCATGCTAGAAAAACCCCAACATGTGTAGATAAATGGTATAGAGGACACCAGCCACCCTTCGATGGAGCTCTGCCCAGTAGTGTCCCCTCACTTCCACTCAGAGACAACATGCCCATTTCACTAAATTCATGAGGACATGGCCAACATAAGTAAGAGAACACCGGGAGGTACCTGGGACAGAGTTCCATGCAGTCACAGCTTTTGCGTCTCTGTGTCTTTTCCCTTCATCTCAACCAGAGAGCATTTGCCGAGGCCGAAGAACAAAAAACTTCAAATATTGGAGCGGAATCTAAGACCACTGATCCATTGTGATCAGGAGGCTGGAGCCATGTGGTCCAGGAATAATGAAGTCTGTGAGGCCTTGGTCACCCCAAGGCTCTCTCCCATTAGGAGCTGCCTCTCACTGCTATCAGGGAGGACCCAGGAGCTGGACATGGCTTTTTTTTTTTTTTTTTTTCATTTCTGATGAGAACCTGGAGAGGTCCCAGAGCATATAGACCTTGATTGAAATGGGGCCAGAGTGGAGTCAGGCAAAAAACTCTAATGACTCAGAGGCACCTAAGTATAAAATAAAATCTCAACTCAGAGCTTCCATCAGAGCATCAGGCTCAGTATCTCCTGTGTTTGCACTGTGAGTACTGGAGCTTGATGAGAAGAAAAATAGCTACATGTGCAGAAAAACATATGTAGTTAGAAAGCTGGGTCATGGTTCAAGGTAAGAGGGACCCTTGTCTTTTCCGTGGTAGATAGTGGGGCTTTCTGCCATCTTAGTTCTGATGGACCAAGTGCAGAAGATAAACTTTCCTGCTTTCAGCTTAGTGACTGGTAATAGAAGCTGGAGTTAAGAGAATCAGTGGCAGCCTCTCTCTCCATGCCCCAGCCCAGTAAATCTAAGCCAGGACTTGGGGCTCTGGCACTTTCTTCTCACTGTGCGTCCTCCTTCTCTGGCTCAAAAGAGAACCACATGTAACAGAAACCAAGGGCTACAATTCTCACAGAACCCAGAAAACTGGACTAGGGGCCTAGAGAGTCATGTGCCTGCCATTGTTCCACCGCTTACGTGCTGTGTGACCTCAGGAGAAGCTCTCTGCTCTTTGAATCATCTGTGAATCATGGACAAACACCTCCATGCTAGCAACATTACTGAAATGCAGGGAGGAACAAGTGATTCAATTGGGAGGAAAAAAAACAAAGTGATGACATTTACTCCTAGACAAAACTTTTTAGGAAAATGTATCTTAAAAGTAGGAGAAAAACATATAATACCTGCAATCCCCTGCAAAAGAAGCCTCTTTAGCTTACTACTTGTTCATCGTCTTTCTGTGAAATTTGGGCAAAACTAGCTCCCTCATTATCTCAAATAAATTAATGCAGTTGGCGATTCTATGTCAGTTTAGGTCTACAACTTTTGCTTTGTGTGAAACTGAAAGGGAATGGGAACATCTTCATTTTTCTGTGGTGGCCAGGGGACACTCAGAGGCTTGGAAATGACCCTATATCATCTATTTTCAATTGCCTCACTCTATCTTTTGAAATCTCAGGTAATTCATACTCCTAAAAAAATCTCATGTTCATACATAGGACAAGGTAGAAAAGGTAATATTCCTGTTTTAATTTGCTAGGGCTGCCATAACAAAGTACCAAAGGCTGGGTGACTTAAATAATAAATATGTGTTGTCTCACAGTTCCAGAGGCCACAGGTGCAAGGTCAAGGTGCTGCAGGGTTGATCTCTTCTGAGGCCTCTTTCCTTTGCTTGTAGATGGCCACTTCTTCTGCCTTCTCAACATAGGGCTTCAACATGTGGATTTTGGTGGCGTAGGAACACAATTCCTCTTGTAACAGTCTGGATCGTCTTTGACAATGGATGTTCTAAAAAATAAAAGAGAGTAATAGACAGTACAACCCTTTGGCTGAAATCTTTCTCTTGGTTTTCTAAAATTTTGGTCTTGCAATAGAAAAAACAAGAAAGAGAACCAAAGTTTAGTTCTTCCCGGAAGGTGAGGCCTCCTCCCTAAGTCTGTGTAATCCCAGACACTAAGACATGGTGCTGTGCAGTTCTCCAAAGTCCTACTCACTCCAGTGATTCTGTTTCTGTCTTTTTAACTGAGCAGAAGAGTCTCTTTCAGGAGAGCAACTTCTTCTGATGCTTTATGGGCTTTATTCTCCTTAAACTTATGGAATGAAAAAGATCTTAATAAAAAGGAAAATATTTGCCAAATTTTTATCATGCTCATAATTTTTGTACCTTTTTAAATGCCCCATATTGTGTTGTTTATTTTTTAAATTTTTTAAAATTGGTACATAATATTTGTACATATTTATGGGATACATGTGACATTTTGATACATGCATAGAATGTGTGTATCAGTCAAGATATTTAGGGTATCCATGACCTCAAGCATTTATCATTTCTTTCTGTTGAGAACATTTTAAATTCACTCTTTTTTGTTTTGTTTTGTTTTTTGAGATGGAGTCTCACACCATCACCCAGACTGGAGTGCAGTGGCACGATCTCGGCTCACTGCAAGCTTCGCCTCCCGGGTTCACACCATTCTCCTGCCTCAGCCTCCCGAGTAGCTGGGACTACAGGCACCCACCACCACGCCCGGCTAATTTTTTTTTTTTTTTTGTATTTTTAGTAGAGACGGGGTTTCACCATGTTAGCCAGGATGGTCTCGATCTCCTGACCTCATGATCCACCCTCCTCGGCCTCCCAAAGTGCTGGGATCACAGGCATGAGCCACCACGCCCAGCCAAATCCACTCTTATAGCTATTTTGAAATATACATTTTTGTTAACTTTAGTCAGTCTGCTGTGCTATCAAACATTAGAACTTATTTTCTCTATATAATTGGACATTTGCATCCATTAACCTGCATCTCTATATTTTCCCACCCCTACATTCTTCCCAGTTTCTGGGAACTGTCATTCTACTCTCTCTACCTCCCTAAGATTAACCTTTTTGGCTCGCACATATTAGTGACAACATGTGGTATTTGTCTTTCCTTGCTTGGCTTATTTCACCTAACGTAATGACCTTTGGTTACATCCATGTTTCTGCAACTGACAGGATTTCATTCTTTTTTATGGCTGAATTGCATTCCATTGTGTATATATATACCACCATTTATTCATTCACCCATTGATGAATTCACCCATTGATTTCATAACTTCGCTACTGTGAATAGTGCTTCAATAAACCTGGGGGTGCAGGTAGTCTTTTGATATATTGATTTCTTTTCCTTTATATAAATACCCATGAGTGGAGTTGTTGGATCCAATAGTAGTTCTATTTTTTGTTTTTTGAGAAATCATTATACTGATTTCCATAATTGCTGTACTTACTTTCCCAAGAGTGTACAACAGTTCCCATTTCTCCACATGCTCACCACTATCCATTATTTTTTATTTCCTATTAGTAGCCATTCTAAATAGGATAAGATGATATTTCATTATAGTTTTGATTTGCATTTTCCTGATATTTAATAAGGTTGAGTGTTTTTCGTATACCTGTTGACCATTTGTATGTCTCCTTTTGAGAAACATCTATTCAGACACTTTATCCATTTTTTAATTGGATTATTTGTGTTTTTACTGCTGAGTTTTTTAAGTTCCTTGTATATTCTAGATGTTAGTTCCTTGCTGGATGAATACATAGCAAATATTTTCTCTATTCAACAGGTTGCCTCTTCATTCTGTTGATTGTTTCATTTGCTGTGCTGAAGCTATTTAGTTTAATATAGTCCCACTTGTCTATTTTATTTTTGTTGCCTGTGCTTTTGAGGTCTTAGCCATAAAGTCTTTGCCCAGACCCATGTCTGGAGTGTTTCCTGTAAGCATTCTTCTAGTAGTTTTATAGTTTTGGGACTTACATTTAAATCTTTAATCCATTTTGAGTTGATTTCTGTATATGGTGGGAGACAGGGTTCTAGTGGTATTCTTCTGCATCTGGTAGCATTTTCCCAGCTCCATTTATTCTCCATTGTTGCTTTTGTTCTTTCTCCATTGTATATTCTTTACCAAAAATGAGTTGGCTATCAATGCATGGATTTATTGTGAGTTCTCTTTTGTATTCCATTAGTCTATGCGTCTGTTTTTATGCCAGCACCATGCTGATTTGGTTACTATAACTTTATATTGTATTCTGAATTCAGGAAGTGTGATACCTCTAGCTTTGTTCTTCTTGCTCACGATTGCTTTGGCTATTTGGGATATTTTATGATTCCATATGAATTTCATAATTTTTTCTATTTCTGTGAATAATGATATTGGTATTTTGATAGGGATTGAATTGAATCTGTAAATTGCTTTGGGTAGTATGAACATTTTAACAATATTCTCCCAATTTATGTGCATGAAATTTATGTGTTTCATTTTTTAAATTAATATTTAACAATATTAATTCTCCCAATTTGTGTGTTTTATTTTTTTTCCTTAGAGACAAGGTCTCACTATGTTTCCCAGGCTAGTCTTGAACTCCCAGGCTCAAACAATTCTCCTGTCTCATCATCCCAAAGTGCCAGGATTACAGGTATGTGCCACTGCGCCTGGCTCTTCCAGTTTTGTGTACTCTTCAATTTCCTTCATCAGTGCCTTATAGTTTTTGTTTTACTTCCTGGGGTAAATTGATTCTTAGTTATTTTATCCTCTTTATGATTTGTAAATAGTTTTGCTTTCTTGATTTCTTCTTCAGATTATATGGTGCTTGTATATATAAATGCTCTGAAAGTTTGCACATTGATTTTGTATCCTGTAATTTTACTGAATTTGCTTATTAGTTCTCACCATTTATTTGGTGGAATATTTAGATTTTTCTTTCTTTCTTTTTTTTTCTTTTTTTGAGATGGAGTCTCGCTCTGTCATCCAGGCTGGAGTGCAGTGGCGCGATCTCGGCTCACTGCAAGCTCCACCTCCTGGGTTCACGCCATTCTCCTGTCTCAGCCTCCTGAGTAGCTGGGACTACAGGCGCCCGCCACCACGACCAGCTAATTTTTTTTTTTTTTTTGTATTTTTAGTAGAGACGGGGTTTCACAATTTTAGCCAGGATGGTCTCGATCTCCTGACCTCGTGATCCGCCTGCCTTGGCCTCCCAAAGTGCTGGGATTACAGGCGTGAGCCACCGCACCCGGCCAATATTTAGTTTTTTCTGAGTAAAAGATTATGCCATTTGCGAATAAGGCTAAGTTGGCTTTCTCCTTTCCAATTTGGATGCCCTTTATTTCCTCCTCTTGGCTGATTGCTCTTGCTAGGACTTCTAGTGCTGTGTAGAATAAAAGTGATGAAAGTGGGAGTCTTAGCCTTCTTCCAGATCTTGGAGGAGAGGCTATAAGCTTGTCCCTATTCAGTATAATGTTAGCTGTGTGTTTGCCATATATGGACATATCATGGTGTATTATTCTTTTGGTATACTGTTGGATTTTGTTGCTAATATTTTTAATTATTATTTTTATCAGCAACTTTATAATTTTTATTATAAGCTTTTTAAGCTTATAAAATGTACATATACCAAAATAATCAGATCTTCATCAAATTTATCAATGAATTTTGACCAATACAGCATATTACTCTTGCCACTATCAATGTACATAAAGATCCCTTTTTCTCCCTTCAACTCAGCTTCCATGCCTCCAGCAGCCATTGATCTGACGGCTGTCAGGATAGCACAGTTCTTCCTGTTTTAAAACTTCATACAAATCTACTCATCCCATATGGCCTCCCTTGTATCTGGCTTTTTGCGCTTGTTGTAATACCTATGTGATCAATCCATGTTGGTGCACGTATCAGTAGTTCTTTCATTTTCATTGCTGATAATATTCCATTGTATGACTGAATCATGATTTTTGTACATTGGCAGTTATTTCTTGTTTTTTACTATTATAAATAAAGAAACTATGAACATTTTTATGCAGGGATTATCGACAAAATCTTCATTTCTCTTGAGTATATACCTAGGAGTGGAAATGGTAGCTGTAGAGGACTAGCTTGTTTAACTTTATTAGATGATATGAAATTGATTTTCAAAATGGATGTTTTATATTCCTATAGGCAATGGAGGAGAGTACAGATTGTTCCACATCCTTGCTAGCATTTATAGTTATTAATCATTTTAATTTTAGCCATTCTAATGGTTGCTTAGTGGTTTCTCACTGTGGTTTTACTTTGCATTTTTCCCTGAACTGGCCATTCATATATCTTCTTTTGCAATGTTTCAGATTTCTCTACAGATTGTGGAAGGTGCTAAATAAAGATGAGTCCTCTTTCTCTAGTGCTGGACCTAAAGCAGAATGTTCAGAGTCCCTCCACATATCCCAATCCAGCCAACCACATACCATGTTTGCCTCCAGAAGCTCCTACTCCTTCATCCGTCTTTCACGGTCTATCACTTCATTCTGGCTTAAGCTCACACTCCTCCAGGAAGTCAGTTACTGTGAAGGTCACTAACATGCTCAGTATTGTCATGTCTCCACCTGTCTTTACTTCTCTGTAGCTTTCCTCACACTCAACGACTCCTTTTTATTTTGCTCAATTTCTGTGGATTCACTTCACAAATTTTATTATAAGGTAGTTCTAGCTAGAAGAAAAAATAGAGAATTATAAGAAATCTTTGTGAAGCTGCCACCCAGGTTTGTCAATTTGTGACATTTTAATATTATTGGCTGTATGTAGTATACATAGAAAATAACAGAAACACGTGTAGATAGCCCTGATTTTCCACAGTTCTGTTATGCATGTGTTTCAGTCAATACTGTACTGAGCAAAGCAAGAACTGTTGGTGAATGTGTGTCTTGAATTTGCTGTATGCCCCTATATTCTTACTAAGTTTTAAAAAGTCTCTTGTTTTTGTTTGTTTGTTTGTTTGTTTTTAACATGGTTTCACTTTGTCACCTGGACTGAAATGCAGTGGCACAAACACAACTCACTTCAGCCTCTACCTGCCAGGCTTAAGCAATTCCTCCCTTCTAGGCCTCTTGAGTAGCTGGGACTAGAGGTTCGCGCCACCATGCCTGGCTAATTTCTGTATTTTTTGTAGAGAAAGGGATTTATCATGTTTCCCAGACTTGTCTGGAACGCCTGGGGTCAAGCAATCTGCCCACCTTGGCCTCCCAAGATGCTAGGATTATGGGTATAGGCCCCCTTGCCTGGCTTTACTTTTAGACTTTTTATAAATTGTTTCTTGCTGATTTTGTTATGCATTTGCTTGCTTTTTCCGTTAACATGGTCTATGAGAGGGATCAATGTTCACACAAATAGTTCATTTGTTTTCATTGCTAGATAGTATTCCATGGGAGGAATATGCTACAATTTATCTCTTCCCCACTTCATTGACCTCTACATAGTCTTTATTAAAGACACTGCTGCAATGAACATGCTGGGACATTGTTTTCTGGTTCCAAGAATATGTGAGCTCCCCTAGGATATGCATGTAAGAGTGGGGTCACTGCACCCTTCCCATATGATGCTACATGATGTCAAATTGTTCTCTGAAAGAAATAATCCAAATGTCTATCAGTAGGGAGCTGGTTAAAAAGCATTGCATTCAAAAAGGGTAATCTCTATTTTAAAAAATGCATGCCTATACAATGGATTGCCAAGAAATTTTTGAACAAAAAAAAGAAAGACATAGTGTAGTTCTTGATATTTCTTCATGGGATGGTCTCCGTGATACAATGGTAAGGGAAAACAGCAAGGTACAGAAAAGCATATGTAGTTTGCTAAAATTTGTGTGCAAAGGGAGAAAGAACATACACATATACATTTATATTTGCTTGCACAGTCACAAAATACCTTTGAAAGAATAAGCACTGCCTGATGAGTTTGGAGTGAGAGATGGTCAGGATGATTTCCCGCACAGTCAGGTTGTTTGAAGGGAGGGGAAAAGAGCAAGCAGCAAGTTTTGTGTTTCTGCAAAGACAGAGACAGTGCAGGAGACACTGAGAGCCTGGAGTGTCCGGGAAACCCGAGTCTTTCTGCCATTTCCCCACTTCTGTGTATCTGGCAGGGGGTGGTGATTTCTCATCCTTGAACCTAATTGCACTGTCAGTTGGCCCCTCAGGCCTGGGCAGATGGGATGGTTAATCCCCTGCCCTGCAGCAAGAGGGCCCTGTCCAGGAGGCACCCACAGCAGGGGCAGTGCAGGTCTGTGGTCGCTCCTGCTCTCACCTGTGGTGTCTCCTGAAGAGGGATTGTCAGTTCTGGTTCCCCGTGGGCGGGAACGGTTGCCTTGTAGGTTACTGGGGCACTGGCCAGGAAAGGGGTGTGAAAGTTATGTGCTAATTTCTCAAAATTCCTGCTTTAAATGCTGATGTCCAATAAAGATGTTCGTAGTTTCAGCTGGGTCTTAAAAGGATTTCCACCAATACTAATGTTGTAACCTATATCAAATGAAACAGGAACTCAAATGTGGAGCTCCCTCTCCAGGACGGTCCATGTGGGAGACAGTGGCTGTGGCAGTGGCAATCCCCAAGTGCAAAGGGTGGGCAGAGGCAGCCTCAGGCTGAGGGGTCTCAAGAAACTTTCTACTCCACAGGGAGAAGAAGATCCCCTATGGGCTGTGAGGGCAGTGGCTTGGGTGGAATCCCTGCTAGGAATCCCTGCTAGGAACAGGAGAGGAAGGCCTTTCAGCCTCCCCAAGCAGCAGCCCTGGGGAGAAGCTGTGCTTCCAGGGATGAGTGGACCAGGCTGGAGCAAGCATGGCCCAAGTGCAGGTCATGGGCCTGGGGGTCAGGGTAGGCTCCTTGAGCAAGGGGGTTCCCAGGGTCAGGTCAGCTGCAGACCCCATAGCAGCTACATGTTTCCATGCTGGGCCTGCCATGCTGATGGGATTCTTAATGGGCTTCCCAGTTAGGAGCTGCCTGCTCAGGGCTGGAAGTGGAGGAGCACTGAGCTGCAGGTGGAGGGCAGAACCACAGTGTTTAGGGCCTGCCTTTGTGTGCAGGTGTCTCTACAGGTGAGGTGGGACTGGGGACTGAGGAAGAGAAGGACTGTGCGTGTGACCCAGCCCAGTCCTGGAAGGACATGGAGCCAGGGCCAGAGCCTCTCTTTGGGGAGTCCTCCTGCTGTCAGAGCTGGCCAGGCTTGAGAGGAGGGGAGGGCACTGGGTTTTTCCCAGGTCTTGTCCTTTGGTCCTGGGGCTCTTTTCCTCCTTGCATGGTGGCTGGTGGGCACAGGGCAGGGGCTGATGTTGATGGAGTCACGGGAGGGGACTGGCAGGGGCTGGGAAAAGTGCCATGGGAGGGAGAAAAAAGTGCAGACATCATCTTCCCTCGGAGAAAGGGTGAATCTGATTTGGGACTGACTGAGGAGGGAGAAGTCGTCAGGGAGTAAAAAGCAGCACTGTGCACCCAGGGGAGCACTTACTATTTTCTCTCTTTTCTCCAGAGCACATGAGCCTGCAAGGCCCAGATCAACACCTGACTCAGACAGAACACCAGGGCAGTGCACAGCTGGGATTTCAGTCTCTGCTCTCAGCTCCCAGGTCCACTGGCTCTACTGAGGGCACCTACACTCTGCAGCCAGGCGGCCTGGATTGAACGCCCTGCCCAGGTCTCACCAGCACTTTTTCTCTTGCTGGCTCAGCTTTCTCATCTATGAAATAGGGAATGTAACAACATTTATTTCTTGTGGTTGGGTGGATGAAAAGTGTTAGTATATATGAGGTGTTTGCAGCTGTGCCATATTATTTTTGTTATTTTGTTATGATTTTATTATATTTTAATACATTAATGTCATGTAGTTGTATTATCACAGGTGAGCTTTATGAGTGAGTGTCCTGGTGACGGCTCCTCCGGGGAGCCAAGGACCAACTTTCCTGGCACGTTGAGGTCCCCTCGCCCTGTCACACTCTCCTGCATTACCCCATTCTACTCTGTCTTCATATTTTATACTATAGATATTTAGCTTTTAAATAGACATTTCTGGTCTGTGTTTTATTTCAAGTGTCTGGGAACAGATAGAGTTGAGGTTCAAGGGAGAATGAGAGCTCTGTCTAGATGCGTTGACATAGCACAAAGAAATCTCCCCTCCTCCCTGATATCTCCCCGCCAGTTCTCAGGGAAGGACAGATTCAGAGCAACACAGACAGGTCTGGAAAGGGATGGGGGGACATCTGAAGCAAATGTTCAGGGCCTGAAGCTGTGAGAGTACACCTGCCCTACAGAGTTGGAGCCCTCATGTGATGATGCAGAGCTGAAGTGTTATATTCTGGAGGGGATAAAAAGTGCTCTGGGGTTTCCTGATTATGAAGGGTAGGGGTCAGTCTGCTTCTAGGAGATGTGGACTGAATTAGTGAAAAATAAATGCACAGGGAATGAGGATGAGTAAAGCAAGCATCAGCATCTCCCGCCATCAGTTCAGACTGATTCGGAGGTGGGGAGGTGGGATAGTTCCTGACCCTGTTGCAAGGTTTCTTTTGACTTTCTGGTTTTGGGGCACATAGATGGCTGGTGCTCTTCTTGGTCAGGGCGGCCTCAGCTCCACCCAGGTAAGGCAGTGGTGGCAGAGAGTTAGGGGAGCACCTATGAAACAGACCAAGGCAGGGATGGGAGCCCTTGGTGCAGCAGGAGTGCATGCAGGACTTGCCTGGAAGCAAGAGTATTAGGGACCCTAGTCAGGTCCTGGTCCCCTCCCTGCCTAGGCTCACAGGACAACCAGTAAAGATGCTGGAGTGGGGAATTCATTCATGGGCTATCTATCCAGAGTTGTTTATAGACATATTCTTTCAAGTTTGTATTCAGGGTTGATGTCACATACACATTTATACATGCTGTTTTATGTTTAAGTGTTTTTTTTTTTTTTTTTTTTTTTTTTTTTTTTTGAGACGGAGTCTCGCTCTGTCGCCCAGGTCGGACTGCGGACTGCAGTGGCGCAATCTCGGCTCACTGCAAGCTCCGCTTCCCGGGTTCACGCCATTCTCCTGCCTCAGCCTCCCGAGTAGCTGGGACTACAGGCGCCCGCCACCGCGCCCGGCTAATTTTTTGTATTTTTAGTAGAGACGGGGTTTCACCTTGTTAGCCAGGATGGTCTCGATCTCCTGACCTCATGATCCACCCGCCTCGGCCTCCCAAAGTGCTGGGATTACAGGCGTGAGCCACATGTTTAAGTGTTTTTATATTTTGGTTAGCCCTTTATCATTGTTAAACAAAGTTGTCATTAGGCATAAACTTGCATGTTAACTGAAGCTTTTGTTTTTATTTTATTCGAAGTTACAATTGCACATAATGGAAAGAGTAAATATTTGTGCAGGACTTTCTGAGAAAAATGAGAGTCTTCTCTGCCTTTCTAGGGAGAGTCCTCTCTTCTCTATTTCTGCCTTTCTAGGGAGCAACCACTTTCAAGTTTCAGCTGATTCTTTTGACTTTACTTTCACATATCTAAGCACCAAAGCACCATTTCTTTATTAACATTGCTTGATTTTTCAGTTGCAGCCATTGACTATTGCACTGCACGATGGTGGAATCAATAGTTAAGATTACTTGTTCTCTTTCTTTTTGTATTTTTTTCTTATTTTTTAATTTATTTAAATAAATAAAAATATTCTACCTCCCCAAAACCCCTCAGGACCCACACACAGGCACTGCAGCAGCGACAGGAGGAGGGGGCGCTGGGAACAGGAAGGACACCACCGCTTGGCCTCCGGCACCGGAGGGACAACCTGGAGGGCTCCGGGAGCACCGCAAAGGTCCAAGCGGAGCCAATCCTCACAAGCCCAGGGAAGGGCAACGTGACAGGCCGGCGCGACAGCCCCACCGCCGCGAAGAGGGGCTGCCCAAAAGGCAACAGCCATAGGAGATGAGCAGGGGTGCCTACTGCGTCGGAGAACTCATCTCCCCAACCCCACCGATGCCACAAGGTAGAGGGCGAGGACAGCGAGGTCGGCCGGATTCCGCACCCCTGCCTCCAACCACCGCCCATGGGCGGGGAGGAGAGACTACCGGCCGCAAGCAGAACGCAGAACGAGAAGAGCGGTCCCGTTAGCCATGAATGTGTCCCTCATCTGTACCGCCTCCGGCCCCGCCCGGGAGAACGCGACGTCACCACATCCATCACTTGTTCTCTTTCACTCTTCCCGTTCTTTCCTTTTCCCAGTATATTTATATAGTAATTATGTTTAATTCAGCCACTCCTTGTTTTTTTCCGTGACTCATCTTCTCATATGTCAACTTGACTACTTTTCACTTGCTTCGTAGTATTTGTTCTTCCTCAAGTTAATACTTGCCTTTGTTTTTGTTTATGTTCTAGATAACTCTCATTAATTTAACTTTGATATCTGTTCCATTTCTGTGACTCTGTTAAGAAATTAGAGACTTTGAACTTTCTATTAATTTTACTTTCTTGGAAATGTCCCTCTTGGGCCCTTCTGGCTGCTCCCATCTGGACTGGAGGCTTCTACCTGTGGGACAGAGTCACCTTCCTAGGATCTCCCTCCACCACCATCTGGGGCGGTGCTTTACATGCAGTGGAGCCACCTGGGGTCCTGACAAATGCAGACTGATCAACCTGTCAAGGCTGGGCCTGTGAGCCTTTCTGTCCAGTTTCATGAGATGCTGGTTCTGCTGGTTCATGGATAATAGCTGGGGTAGCAAGGATCTCTCTTTTTGTCTCACAGTTTTCTGCATCTCTTTTTCATAGTAAGCACATGCTAATATATTTTCAATAAATTCATGTGCTCTTTTCCTAAGTTGGTATCAGAGCTAATTATTTTTTTCATTGCGCCAAAATCTATATTATATAAAATTTGGTATCGTAACAATTTTTAAGTATAGAGTACTATAATATGAACTGTAGCACATTGTTATGCAACAGATCTCTAGAACTTTTCATCTTGCAAAACTGAAACTCTACGCTGAAAATCTCCTCATGAATCCCCCCAGCCTAACCACTGGCAGCCGCCATTCTACTTTCAGGTTCTAAGAGTTTAGACGCCGCATATAACGAATTGCGCAGTATTGGAATTTCCTTGTGATTGGCTTATTACACTTAGCATTGTTCTCCAGGTTCATCCATGTTGCAGCATGTAACAGAATTTCCTTCTTTTTAAGGTTGAATCATATTCCATTGCCTACATAGACCACATGTTCTTCATCTATTCATGTGTTGATGGGTGCTTTGTTTGCTTCCTTGTCTTGGCTATGGTGAGTAATGTTGCTGTGAATACGGGTATGCAATGTTTTTCTTTTTTACAGCCTCCCTCATTTCAGTGGAATTAATGTTTTAGTAGCTACTTCTGATAGCACATATTTAAAGTATTTTTGCATGCATCAATGTGTCCATTGTTGTTTTGATTCTCTCCTGGAAGAGGATGGAAATGTATGAAGGTGCTGTTTGGCACAGTATTTAATGGTGAAGAAGAGACGGTGTAACTGACCAGTGCTGGGTCTCAGCATCCTGCAATTTCAGAACTACTGTGAATGCAAAAATAATTAAAAAAACCAGTGCTGCCCAGAAAGGGGGAGTCATCCCTAAATATGGCGGCCCTGGGACAGCTGGCCTCCCTGCCAGGCCTCTTCCATGGGGGCCCTTTTCTGCAGTGACTGGGATTTCTTTCCATTTCACTCTACCCTGTGTCCTGACCCAAGAGACAAGGCATGTCTGCAGCTGTGCCCACACTTGGAGTGTGTCAGTACATTATAAACACTGGCTCAGTGGTGTTAGTACATTATAAACATTGGCTTATCATGGGTTATTTTATTATTTATTGTGTATTTTGATTTCACTTTACTGGCAACACAATAAACAATGACATGATGACCCTAGCAATCACATCCTCTTTCTTGTGTCAAAAAGCACCTTCCAGGAACGTGAGAAGGAGACAGTTTTCGCTACAGTTGATTAAGGGAGAGCCCGCTAGGCTGGGCAGGAGGATTTTTACCGGGAACCTGTGCGATGAGCTGTGACATCCTTCTCCCCACCTTCAATCTCAGCCCCAGCAGGCACCTCCTGGGCGCAGAAGCAGTGCAGCGGCGCCACCTGGCGGTCTGCACTCTTCCTTTCCCAGATCAAGCACAGCCCTGAAATCCACCTGTCCCTCCTCTGTGCCTGTGATTTCTTCAGGGGACACCAGCGTGGGTCAACTTTCTTGTAAAGCAGAACAAGCGTGAGATTGGACCATGTTACAGGAGGAATGGTGTCATCTCTACCTGTGGAGAGATCCCTGTCACCGTGTTCAGGGGAAGGACCGAGCCTCACTCCCACGCAGAGAGGAGGCTCTGGTTGTAACTGCTCCAGTGGAGAGATGAGGACCTCCTCCCTCTACACTGATGGCCAAAGCCTGCAGACTGGGCCAGGCTTCCCCTCAGCTATGTCCTGTCAGGTTCATCCAGGACTCAAGAAATAAACTGTGGACATTGTCTCCAGCGACGTGGAGCTGAATGCACACTCAGTAATGAGACAGCCTTGCCAGGGGTCCTGGGGCTGCCGGTTGTTCTGGGTGCTCAGTGTCCAGAGAGGAGGATGGGGAGGAGGCTTTGTGCAGAACAGGAACCGTGGAGCTGGATGCACACTCAGTAATGAGACAGCCCTGCCAGGGGTCCTGGGGCTGCCGGTTGTTCTGGGTGCTCAGTGTCCAGAGAGGAGGATGGGGAGGAGGCTTTGTGCAGAACAGGAACCGTGCCCCATAACTCATTTTATTCTGCGTTCGCCTTTTTGTCATAAAACACAGGTGACATAAAAGAAAAAAAATCTTAAAATGGTGACCTTTAATCAACAGTAAACACTCTTTAACCATCAGAAAGAGAGAGAAGTTTGTCAGCTGACCTAGAAGCCCCATCAATTGACCCAGTTCAATAGTAAATTTTTATTTTTTCAAATAAAAATCAATCACATCCTGACTTTTGTGGTCCTCACTTCTTTGTTCTATTTTATATTTTCATCATCCCAAATGATAGTTTAGTTTTACCTTTAAAAATAAGTTTTTTGTTCTTATTTGTTCTATAGGTTATCCCTTTGAAATTAATATTGTCTGGTAGAGTTTCCTGTTGTTTGTATTTTGTGGATTGCACCCCAAACTATGGTTTAATATGCATCTCTATTACCTGCATTTTCTAGAAATTTGTAGTTTGGTATAGAGGTTTGCATCTATTGAGATTTTTTTCCCCGTGAGTTTTGGTGGTACTATATCATGTTTTTCAACAAGGGGAAGAGTTTAATACTGGTTATTTCCCTTTGGTGATGAAAATTGTCATTGCTGTTCAGTGGCTAGATCTGTTCATTCATTACGGATGGCAAAGAGTTGTAGTCTCAGTCTTCCATTTCTTTTCATGTATTATTTGAATAATTTGTAAAATAAGAGACTTACCCCCTTCTACTATTTACCTATTATAGGAAAATCACTTTTAATTAATTAGATGTGAAAATTCTAAGAAAAATATTAGTAGACTGTATTAACCAATGTGTTATAAACAGACTGTCTTGACCAAGGTATATAGCCCAAGAATGCAAGGATATTTAAACTTTAAACCTTTTAATGCATTTTGCCACTTAATTAAAGAATAAAAAACAGAGATGATGTTATTTTACTAGATTAAGAAATTATTCTAGATGAAATTCAGCACTCCATCTGACCCATATTTCTCCAGTCATCTCCAGGTTAAAGAAATCATGCAATCAGATTGGGGCCACTCAAATAATACAAAATAATCTCCACATCTAAAGGTCCATGCTCTTAATCATATCAGCAAAGTCCCTTTTGCTGTGTAAAGTAACATATCTAAATGGTCTGCGTCTTAGGGCTTGGACATATGTGTGAGGCCATTATTTTGGATTCCACAGTGTATATGGTGGTTGAATGAGGTTTAATTTAATTCTTCTCTAATTAAATTCCTAGAAGAAGAGAAGTGAGTAAATGGAAAGAGGCATTCCAGAAAGAGGTTATCTTAAAATATTAAGGAAATGTATTATTGTAAATAAAGTCTTGATGCCACAAAGAAATAGCACTCAAATATAAAATTTTCTTTTTTTCTTCTCAGCAAGGCAATTACTTCTATACAAGGGTGTGCCCTCACAGATGGAGCAATGGTGAGCACACCCCTGGACAAGGAAGGGGAAGGGGTTCTTATCCCTGATGCACGTGGCCCCTGCTGCTGTGTTATTCCCCTATTGGCTAGGGTTAGACCGCACAGGCTAAACTAATTCAGATTGGCTAATTTAAAGAGAGTGAAACAGGTGATCAGAATGAGTCAGGGTGGTGCAGGTAACTGGAATGAGTCAGGCTGGGGCAAGTAATCAGGATGAGTCAGGGTGGAGCAGGTAATCAGAATGAGTCAGGGTGGAGCAGGTGACTGGAATGAGTCAGGGTGGAGCAGGTAACCAGAATGAGTCAGGCTGGAGCAAGTAATCAGGATGAGTCAGGGTGGAACAGGTGATCAAAAAAGGTTGCTTTATGAGGAAGTTAAGTTTAAAAGTAGAGGGCAAAGAATTGAACATACTGACATGTTAATTATTTTAAGAGAAATTTAGAACTCATACCTAACAGTATCATAGCACTGTGAATAAAAAGAGATCCACATTTACTCATACTGCACTGGAACAGAAGATGTTAAAGAGAAACAGATATCTTAAAATTTGCCACAGGAGAAACACAGATCCTCTAAGAAGCAACTGGTTAAAATGTAACTGACTATCCCCTGTCAGCCACAGCAGCCAGAAGCAACATAATCATCAAAGATCTGAGAGAAAACCAATGTCAAACTAGAAATTTGCAGCTGACAAATCTCTCTTTGATGAATAAAGGTAAAACAAAACATTATCATATAAATGAAACTGTTGCACTGTCTCCATAATACCCAATTTCAAAATATCTACAAGAACAGAGAAATATGTAAGAACAAAAGAGAGAAAGAAAGCATAAATTTTAATTTGTAATCTTTGGTATATGTAACTCAGTACTGTCATAAAATATTAATAATGTAGCTTTCAAAGAAAAAAGTCATGTAAAATACATAACATGCTGTGCTATAATTTCTTTATTTATCTTCCCACCCCCACCTTTGACTTCTATGAAGTCCAAGGAAGTTTGATTCTTTTATCTGAGGCTCAACTCCATAGAGCACAGTACCCAGAATAAGGTAGGTGCTTAATGATGTTTACCATTTGAATGAGTTTCCTGGAAGTACTTAGCAGATCAGGAATTCTGATGCATAAGCACAATTCAAAGGTGGCTGAGGAGTGACATCAGAGAACATAGTGGCATAGGAACTCCAAGGGCCACCTCTGCACAGAGACAATGTGCTTGTAAAACATCACTATAAAAAAAAATCCCTTGGCTGGGCATGGTGGCTCATGCCTGTAATCCCAGCACTTTGGGAGGCCGAGGTGGGGGGATCACCTGAGGTCAGGAGTTCGAGACCAGACTGATCAACATGGAGAATCCCAGTCTCTACTAAATATACAAAATTAGCTGGGTGTGGTGGCTCGCGCCTGTAGTCCCAGCTACTCGGGAGGTGAGGAAGGAGAATCGCTTGAACCCGGGAGGCAGAGGTTGCAGTTAGCCGGGATCATGCCATTGCACTCCACCCTGGGCAACAAGAGCAAAACTCCATCAAAAAAAAAAAAAAAAAAATTCCCTCGGAGAGCTGTTAAAGCAAGAATTCCTGGACCTACCACCAGATATTCTGATTGGGTTGATAAAGAATCAACTGCATTGGAACCCTGAAAAATCATCAAAGGTTTATTGCAACCTAGCAAGTCCAGAAAAATCAACTGGAACTCAGGAGCAGAGCTTTGTGGCACCATATCTTACCCTTGGCCCATTCCTCCCTGTTCAAGTCAGTAGTGATCTTGAAGACAGCAGCCTGGTTCCTTAGTGTGGGCTCCAATGCCAGTGGGAGCCGAGTGGACCATGTTCTCAAAGTGTTGTGGTTGTCTACCTTTTCCTGTTGGGTGACTCCGTGAAGGATGATAAGAAATGGCTTACATTGGGCTGGGCATGGTGACTCATGCCTGTAATCACAGCACTTTGGGAAGCTCAGCTGGGTGCATTTCTTGAGTTCAGGAGTTTGAGACCAGCCTAGACAACATGGTGAAACTCCATTTCTACAAAAAATACAAAAATTAACTGGGCATTATGGCATGTGCCTGTAGTCTCAGCTACTCAAGAGGCTGAGGTGGGAGGATTGCTTAAGCCCAGGAGGTTGAGGCTACAGTGAGCCAGGATCGTGCAACTGCACTCCAGCTTGGGCTTCAGAGCAAGACCTTGTCTAAAAAAAGAAAAAAAAGAAAGAAAAAGAAAATAAATGGTTTGCATTTATTTTCCCTACTCAGAACTCTCTTAGGTCACAGAGGCAGAGGGCATCTGCTAAAACCATTTAAGTGCCACTGAACCAGCAGCTGCCCCCTTGGGGCAAAAATATATTACATGAGAAAGGTAATAGACATACAGAAAAGCCTGGAGGAGAAACTGGGTGAGTGAGATGGGAATATGGGTTTTGAAAAGCTTCCATATCCCTGGGAATCTGTATAGCCTCCTCCATGACCAGTATGTCGCACAGACTCACAAAGCACCTGAGAATGCCCTGTGTTCACACCTCTTGCTAACTTTCAATATCTGCACAAGTAGGAAATGAAGGCCAAAGCAGTATTGTAAACTGCCCAGCAGAGTGTTGAGGGCATGCCCCAAAACACACAGAGAGCCCAGATAAAAAGATTGAATTTTCTTTTCTTATTTCTTTTTGGCTGAAGATGTTTCAGGAAATATCTATCAAATCATGAGTTGACCACTAAGCTTACAGAATAGAGACTTCAGTGATGACACACAATAAAGAATACAGTCTATACAAAAATAGTTTAGAAAACATGATTTTCAAAGTCACCACATGTTAGTATTCAAAATAAAAATGAGGTATGCAATTAAACTAGACAGTAAGACCCATTCTCAAGAAAAAAGAGGAATTGACAGAAACTGTTCCTGAGAAAGGCCATTGAACATACTTACTGGACAAACAACTTTGAATTGACTGCTTAAATATGTTCACAGAGCTAAAGGAAACTATGGGCAAAAAACTAAAGGAAATCAGAAGAACTATCTTAACTCAAATAGAGAACATCAATAAAAAGATAGAAAGTTTAAAAAGAAACCAAATAGAAATTTTGGAGCTGAAAAGTGCAATAACTGAAATGAAAAATTTACTAGAGTAATTTTACTATTTTTTACTATATTTTACTAGAGTAAATTTACTATTTACTTTTTTACAAAAGCAACTTTCACTATGCAGAATGAAGAATCGGCAAGCTTAAAGGTAAGACAATTGAAATTATCCAGTTTGAGGTGCAGAAATAAAAAAAAATTATGAAGAAAAATGAACAGAACTTAAGAAAACTGTGAGACAACACCAAGCATATGCATTTTGGGAATCCTCAAAGAAAGGAGAGAGAAAAAGAAGAATGGCTATTTGGAGGAATAATAACTTCAAATCTCCTAAATTTGATGAAAAATATAATTTTACTCATCCAACAAACTTGATACATTTTAAGCAGCAAGAATTTTAGAAGTCCACACTGAGAGACGTTATAATCAACCAGTCTACACCAATGACAAACAGACCATCTTGAAAGCAATAACAGAGAAGGAACTTTTCAGGTACAATGGATCCTCAATAAGATTAACATACAAATTTTCATCAGAAACCATGGGGTTCAGGAGGCGTTGGGATGACAAATTTAAAGCTGAGAAAGTAAAAGGACTATCAACCAAGAATTGTATGTCTGCAAAACTCTCCTTCAGAAATGATGGAGAAATCACGACATTCACAGGTTAAAAAAAGCTGACTGAGATTGTCTCAACCCTACAAGACATATATATATACACACACACATATATATATTTGTAATTCCTCTCTTGTTTTTCCTATTTGATTTAAAAGAAAATGTCCATCGACCAATGAATGGAGAAACAACATATAGTTTTTTCCTACAATAGAATATTATTTGGTCATAAAATGAATAAAGCACTGGCATATGCTAAAACATTGCTGAATCTTGAAAACAAGACAAGTGAAGGAAGCCAGTCACAGGAGGCTACGTAACTTATGAGCCCATTTTTGTGAAATATTCATAAGAGGCAAGTCGATAGAGAAAGAAGTGGATTTGTGGCGACAGGGTCTGCTGGCAGGTGGAAATGGAGGGTGACTGCTTAATGGGTGCAGAGTTCCCCCTGAGGTGATAAAAACACTCTGGAACTAGAGAGTGATGATGGTTACATAACATTGTGAACATACGAATTGTCACTGCATTGTGCACTTTAAATGGTTACGGTGGTATCCTTTGTGTTTATGTGTATTTTACCACAATGAAAAAGAGGCTGAGGAAGGTATTCCAAAATCTTTTGTATAGTAAACTCCTGAGTTTGCTTGAGAATCTGCCTATCTGTCTTTTCTTCTCAGGACATCATCTCCTACCCAGAGCAAACCTTTGTTCTTCTGCAAGTAGAAAGCCCTCTTTCAGAACATTGTCCAAGATCAGCCAGGCCCAACCCTCAAAATGACTTTCTGTCTTTGACCCAAATGCTCAAATGCAACTCTGGGGCTAATTTCAGTGGGAGTAAGAGATTATCCAATCAGGATAATTCATTTGGAGAGAAAATGTTTTGCTTAAGTCAGCAAAGTCCTTTGCTTTCCTAAAAAGGATCCTGCTTACCAGTGAGTACAGAGTTTTTGTACATTTGAGGTGGAGTTCTCAGCAGAGTAATTAAAGATATCTGTAGAAACACCACACACATTATGTGTAGCTGACTGATTCACCCCTCTGCCACCCCCAATTGAAGGAAGGAGCTGTATTCTTATCTTGGCCCATCCATCAACTGAATGCCGCTGGACATGGAACATTACAAGTGTGAAGCTTCCAGGGTTCTCAGTTGCTCTTCCTGCTGTTGTGGAGACTCCATTGGTGTGGCTCACATCCAGGCAGGCCTGCAGGAAGCTGTTTCCTAATTCTCAAGGCCAACATTTTCAGTGAACCCATACCAAAACCCTAGGTTCTCAGGGACTCAGATTTTCATCTGTGGAAGAAAAGAATCCATCTCACTCTCTCAGGTGTGATGGTAATTATATATATTATAATATAATATATATATACATAATTATAATTTATATATCTATAAAAGAGATAATCAGTATTCCATAAATTGATGATATTCTCAGTGTTGACTTCATTGCCCAGGTGAACACTGTAACAGAAGGATGAGTCATGGATTGTAGAGGAACAATATTTTTTTTACTCTCTGGAGGAGCCATCAGTAGGCATTTCTGCCATATGGACTTCAAATGAGAAATTTGTTTTAGGTTGAGATTGGAAGGAGATCTGAACTTCTTTTTATTATTATTATTTTAAATATGAGGTCTCACTATGTTCTCCAGGCTGGAGAGCAGTGACTATTCACAGGTGTGACCATAGCCTCAAATTCGTGAGCTCGAGCCATTCTCCTATCTCAGCCTCCTGAGTAGCTGGGACTACAGGTGCCCACCACAGTGTTCAGCCACTTTTCATTGTTATTTTACTTCAAATGTTTTATTTTGAATGTTAAAAATACATGTTTCTACATTAGAAATATGAAAATGTATTTGATTACAGAAGAATTTAAAATGCACACATCAACACCTGGTTGAATTTTAAAGAAAAAAAAATGCAGAGAAGAAAGAAATATCACCCAGGCTTCCCCTCCAAAGAACCACTGCTATCATATTATTGAAACTTCCTGGACTGCAGTGTGAATGGTCATCCCTGGAGCTATCTTCTGCAGTGATGCTGACTTCCATTCTTTTGTTTTCTATGTATATATTTTTATATATGCTTTCATTGTAGAAAGTTGCATTCATAAGTTTTGGGGTTTTTTTTAAGATGGAGTCTCACTCTGTCCCCCAGGGGCTGGAGTGCAGTGGCATGATCTCGGCTCACTGCAACCTCTGCATCTCGGATGCAAGTGAGTCTTCTGCCTCAGCCCCTCGAGTAGCTGGGATTACAGATGTGCACTACCACGCCTGGCTAATTTTGTGTTTTTAATATAGATGGGGTTACACTTGTTGGCCAGGCTGGTTTTGAACACCTGACCTCAAGTGATCCACCCACCTTGGCCTCCCAGAGTGGTTGTGGGTTATTTTGAAGTTGCTTTTTGAATGTATTATTATGAAAGTAGTTTTCCATGTCATAAAGTCTGCATAAAATTTACACACTTCTAGAAGCTGCATCCCATCTCAAACAAGGAGAAGTCACCAGGGTTCTTTTAGATCCATGTGCTTTCATCTTGTCTTTTGGTAAAGAATATTTTGACAAGCATGTTTGTACATGAAGATTCTTCTATGGTTGTGATTTTAAAAATTCATAGAACACTCAGGATGGACATGGTGGCTCATGCCTGTACTTCCAGCACTTTGGGAGGCTCAGGCTGGCAGATTGCTTGAGCCCCTGAGTTTGTGACCAGCCTAGGCAACATAGAGAAACCCTGTCTCTACAAAAAATTCAAAAGAATTAGCCGGGCTTGGTGGCACATGCCTGTAGTCCCAGCTACTTGGGTGTCTGAGGTGGGAGGGTTGCTTAAGCCTGGAAGATTCAGGCTGCAGTGAGCCATGAACAACACTGCACTCCAGCCAGCAAGCCCAATCTCAAAAAAATAAATTATAGACTACTCAAATTGTAAGTATTAAACCAGTGTCTGTGAGAGTTTTTCTGGAAGGGATGTGAGTGGGTGGACTGGTGGGGAAGATCCTCTCTCACTGTGGGCAGCCACAGTCCAATCACCTAGTGGCCCAGATAGAACAGAAAGGTAGATAGAAGTAAAATTTCTCTCTGTCTCTGTCTCTCTGTCTCTCTCTGTCTCTGACTCTCTCTCTGGAACTGGGGCTGGGACACCCTTCTTCTCCTGCCTTGGACATCAAAACTCCAGGTTCGATGATCTTTGGACTCTGACTTTTGCACCAGTGAGCCCCTTTATCCTCCTGTTCTGTATTCTGGGTCCTCAGGGCTTTGACTTTGGACTGAGCCACGCTACTGGCTTTTCTAGTTCTCCAGCTTCCAGACAGTCTATCATGGGACTTCTCAGCCTCCATAATTGTGTGAGCCAATTAGCCCAATAAATCACCTATCTATCTATCTGTCTGTCTATCTATCTATCTATCTATCTATCTATCTATCTATCTATCTATCATCATCTAACATCTATCTATCATCTATCATCTATCTATCTATTATCTATCTATCATCTATGTACCTATGCTATTGGTTCTTTCTTTCTTGGTAACCTTAATAAATCAACAGACAATAAACAAATAAAACCTGTCATAGTATCACTGATAATTGCCATTAAGAAAAATATGCTTGGGTTAGAAGATTGGTGGCGGTGGTGGGAATGGCAGGGGATAGATTTCAGAAGAGGTCACTGGACAAGACATTTCTGAACACTTGACCATGGGACATTTAAGCAGGGACCTTAATGGTGTGAGGAGTGAGCCATGTGGATCACTGGGCAGCACATGCATGTGGGAGTCACAGCAGGGGCAGGTGGTGGAGACAGGGTGGAGTAGACAAGAAACTGGTGTGAGTGGAGAAGAATGAGCTAGGCTGAGAGTAATGGGATGAGGCCAAAGTGGCCAGAGGGGACCCTGTGATAAGGAGTGCATAGGAAATGGTGGGAAACTGGGGTTTCCTTGTGCCTAAGAAGGGAAGGAGCTGGAGCGTTCATAGGATATGCCCTAATTCCCATTGGAAAGGCACGCTCTCTCTGTTGTGTGGGTGATGGACAGTGGGCATGAGAGTCAGCAGGCAGCCCAGCTGGAAGGCCCTTCCGGTTTTCTATCCTAGTGAGGATGGTTCTGGGGTGGAGGTGGCAGAGGAGTGAGAAGTGATTGGATTTGGTGTTGATATATATTTTTAAAATTGTGGTAAAACACACATACTATACGATTTACCTTCTAACAATTTTTTTCAGTGTACAATTCATTGGCATTAAGCACATTTACAATTGATGGTGGTTACACAAACACCAACATGCATTTTCAGAACATTTTCATCATCCCAACAGAGACTGTACCCATTAAATGACAGCTGCCCATTGTTCCTGCCTTCAGCCCCTGGTAACCTGTATTCTACTTTCTGTTTTTGTGAATTTGCTTATTCTAGGTGCCTCATATAAGTGAAATATCATATTTGCCTTTTTTTTGGCTTATTTTATTTAGCGTGTTTTCAAGGTTCCATCCAATCCAAATATTCTTCACTTTTAAGGCTGATTAATATTCCATGTGTATATGCACCACATTTTGTTTTTCCAATCATCCTCTGATGGACACTTGGGTTGCGTCCACCTTTTGGCTATTGGGAATAGCACTGCTATGAGCATGACTGTACAATTATCTGTGTGCATACCTGCTTTCAATTTTTGGGGGGTATACACCCAAAAGTGGAATTGTTGCTTCATATGGAAATTCTATGTTTACCTTCTTGAGAAAGCGTCATCCTGTTTCCATGATGGCTGCACTGTTGTTCACTCTCAGCAGCAGTGCACAAGCATTCCATTTTCTCCACATCCTCACCAACACCTGGACTAGTGAAGCTGAGCATATTTTCATGTCCTTATTGGAATTCCTTATTTTTATGTCCTTACTGTGTATCTTCTCTGGAGAATTGTCTATTCATGTCTTTTACCCATTTTTGAATGAGATTGTTTTGCTATTGTTAAGTTGTAGTTCTGTATGTAGTCTGGATATTAATTCTTTATCAGATATGTGATTGGCAAATATTTTATCTTATTCTATGCAGTTTCTTTTATTTTCACTTTTTTTTTTTTTTTTTTTTTTTTTTTTTTTTGAGACGGAGTCTCTCTCTGATGCCCCAGCTGGAGTGCAATGGTGCAATCTCAGCTCATTGCAACCTCTGCCTCCCAGGTTCAAGCGATTCTCCTGCCTCAGCCTCCCGAGTAGCTGGGATTACAGGTGCCCACCACTGCGCCCGGCTAATTTTTGTATTTTTAGTAGAGACAGGGTTTTGCCATGTTGGCCAGGCTGATTTCGAACTCCTGACCTCAGGTGATCCACCCACTTTGGCCTCCCAAAGTGCTGGGATTACAGGCGTGAGCCACTGCGCCTAGCCTCTTTTCACCTCTTAATAGCGTCCTTTGATGCAAAAAAGTTTTTACATTTTGATGAAGTCTTATTTGTCATTTTCCTTTTATTGCTTGTACTTTTGGTCACCAGCCAAGAAACCACTACCAATTCTAATGACCATAAGACTTTCCCTCAGTATTTTCTTTTAAGAGTTTTACAGGTTTAACTCTTAAGATTAGTTCTTTAAGGCATTCTGACTTAATTTTTGAAAAGGGTGTAATGGAAGGGCATAAATTTTGTCCAGCATCATTCTTTTGCATGTGGATATCCAGGTTTCCAGCACCATTTGTTGATGCACCATCTGTTGCAGTGGGGCTGACACATTTGTAAGATGCAATGAGCATGAATACATGGGAGCACCATGAATTTATTTACATGTCTTTACTTCACAGTTGTTTTGAGGAGGCTTTCACTGAGAAACCTAACAGAAATGAATATATATGACTTCCTATAAAATGAAATTTAAGTAAAATTATACTTTTTAAAATGTTAAGACTGGAGCAAGACTGGAACATCACCAGACAAACAGAAACATAGGCTGAAATGAAGGGTTTATGTTTATCTTGCTACAAATTCTGTTGGCCCACAATCTCTTATGCTTATTGCATAAGAGAGCCACAGAGTGGGGCGATAGCTCAAATAACCAGTCCCTGGTTTTCTGCTTCAGAAACAAGTTTAAATTCTCTGCTTAGACAAAGTAAAGAAAATAATTGAAAGATGTTGAATGTGAAGTTGGCATCTACAAAGTCAAAGAAGTGAGTAGTAAATGTAAACATCAGGAATCCAAGGAGATTCTATCTTTTTACACAGAAATGGCCTCACTATGCACTGCTGAAGGGAGAAGGTCCCTCCAGGAGAACTTCATGATGAGGAAAAACCCAATATGATGTAGGGGTTTTCTGCTGCAGCCCTAAATTGAATTGTCCTTCGCTCTAAATACAGGTCTCACAAAGTTTTATGTCTTCAATGATTTCACCTGGGCAGAGATTTTGTTTTGTTTTTGGTGTTGTTTGTTTTGAGCTGCTGCCTGGGGCTTAGAAAAGTGACTTGGATATTTTGCCAAAGTTGTATTTCTTTGATGGAATTCGAAATCCATGAACACTCTGCTTTCCTGCTGTATTCCCAGAGCGGGTTGAGTACCTTGCACTTCTTTTCAGCACTTCCCTAGAAGTGGTAGAAGATTTGGAGTTAGGGCCTCCCTCAATCTCTGCCCTTTCTTTAATTCAGAGGATCACAAACTGTTGGGGGAAGAGTGGTATCTTGGGCCCCCAGTTGATCGGATGAATATTAATATCCAATGTCCTGTAATGAAGTCATGTGTGCATGTAACATCACTTCTGCACGCAGTGTCATGGGAAAGTGGGTTCGCGGACCCCAGGTTAAAAGCCTAAGCACTAAATGCACAGAGCTAGAGCTCTAGGAGGGGCGGGATGGCTGGGGTGGAACGTCATCTTGTCCTTTAGTCCTGGGGCATTTTCACTCCTCACATGGTGGGTGCTGGGCATCTGGCAGGTACTGATGTTGATGGAGTCGAGGGAGGGTACTGGCCGGAACTGGGAAAAACAGGGTTGGGGAGATAATTAAGGTGAACATTATTTTTTCTGAGTGTAAGTCATGGCTTGAAATCTGGAGAGCCTGAAGGAGATCCCGCTACCTAAACCCGTTTTCCTTTTCCCTCAAGCCTCATTTGGCCACAGGCCCAGTGTCAACACCAGGGGGCGCCACAGACCATGAAGGCACCGCGCAGCTGGGATTGTTTGTGGTGGGCTCCTGGGTCCCTGACTTAACCAGGGAAGCCAAGACCCTGCAGCCAGGTGGGCTGGATTCAACCTTCAGCTCTGGTCCTACTGACACTTTTCTTCCTGGTGCCTCAGTTTCTTAATCTGTGAAATGGTGAGGACATTACAGCACTTACCTCTCGGGCGGGTTTCTCAACAGCAGCCCTATTAAGAATTTGAGACAGAGAATCCCTTGTGCTCTGTCCTGTGCATTGTGGGAGGTTTGCCAGCAGCACCCCACTCACCCCCTCCCACCAATCCCCACGTGACAACCGAAAATGTCCCAGGATTTTTAGGTCTCCCTTGGGTCTAGAGCTGCATTTAGTCAAGCATTTTCCCACCTGACATTTGAGCTCATCTCTGCTTTGGTCCACATAAGGCCACTTTAAAAAGATGTTGTTTCTTTAAAGATTCTAACCATCTTTTAAACAAATCTATTTTCTTCCTTTATTTCTGCATTCAGTTAATCCTTCCAAACCCTTGGTTTAGTATATCTTGAAATGTATCAATTCCTGTTCTAGTAATTAACATATGTGACTTGCATGATATCTGCTATGACCCCTAGTAGAGTTCTGATTCCTTTAGCACAGGGAATGTGTTCTCGATTCTGCTCTGGATGATGTAAATCAATTTATTTTACTTTACTTGTCTGGGATGTTGCTCCTCACCTGTAAAATGTAAATGTAGATATGGCTTGGATTACTAAGTGGTTTTATTTCTTCATTCACCTGACATTTGTTGTGTACCTGCTGCAAGTCAAATACATGGTATGATATTGTTTCCTTGTTCACACCACAGCAAATGAGAAAATGAGACATTATAGCCAGGTGTGGCGGCACAGGCTTCTCGTCCTAGCTACTCAGAAGGCTGAGGCAGGAGAATTGCTTCAGCCCAGGAGTTTGAGGTTACAGTAAGGTCTGATATCACCATTGCATTTCAACCTGGGCAACAGACCCTGTCTCTGAAAAAAAGGAAAAAGACACTGTGAGCTGTCTACATGTACTCTATGTCTCAGGAGACTCATGTGCTGTAATTTTTCTAAATGGCATCTCCATGTGGTCTTTCATGAATGTTTGTCTGGTATTTCTTTTCTATCTTTTTACTTTCAACTTTTCTGTACCTTCTACTGAAATTATGGCTTTTGTAAATAGCCTACGGTTATTTATTTATTTACTTATTTATTTTTATCCCTCTGCACTATTTGTCTTGTAATTGGAGTGTCTGAGTCCATTACGTTTAATGTCATTGTTGACCTCATTGGGTTTAAGTCTGTCCATTTTCATTTACTGCCTTCTAATATTATCTTTCTTGCTCAACTATTTTTCTTCTGTTGCCTTCTTTAGATGAATAAAAAACTTTGCATTATTGTGGTCTTCTCAGTAAGTGTTCTAGTTACAAATTCTCTTATTATTTCTTTAATTATCTGAGAAAGCACAATAATCTGTGACTTATTATAACCAACAGCAGACCATAACTTCCCTGACTTTCACCTACCTGTGCAGACAGCACAGGGGAGAATCAATGCTCTGGCTCTGAGACACAGGGGTGGTGGAAGTAGGATAGTGATTGGATGATGAATCTGTAGCTGCAGAGGCATCTGGGCCCCTCACCTTCATTCCTCGTAGATGTCACCTCCACTGGATGCCTGCAATGCCCTCTCCTCTGTATGCTCCTGCCAGAGTCTCCCCATCTCCACTGACAGCAGCTCCACCCTTCTGCTCACTCAGTCCAATACTGTGGGTGTCCTTGATTCTTCTTTCTCACACCACAGATAAATCCATTAGCAAGTGCTGTGAATTCATCCAGAATCCCATCACTTCCCACTATTTCCCCTGCTCACACCCCAGTCAAGGTAAGCGACGTCTCCATCCTGGAATACTGCACTCCTTTCCCACCGTTTTTCCCACTGCCTCACTAGTCCCCCACCTCTCAATTCTGTTCTCAGCACAGCAGCCAGAGAGAAGCTTTCAAAGGATAAGTCCTACCATGTCCCACTTTCCAAAACTGTCCTCTAACTCCCCATGTCATTCAGAGCAAAGGTCAACATCCTTCCCACACCCTCCAGGGCAACCTGCTCTGGGCACACCTCTGACTTCATTTCAGTTTCTCTCTGTTCAACACTTCTGGCCTCTTCCTCCTTCCAGGAACACAGACAATTTCCTGCCCTAGTGCATCTGCACTGAAGGTTTCCCTGCCTGAAAAGAACTTTCTGAGACATCCGTGTAGACAACTCCTCACATCCCTCAAATCTTTACTCCAAGGTCACATTTGCAACAAGGCCCATGCTGACCACCCAGCACAACAGCCACCTCCCTGTACCCACAGCCCACCCTCTGGATCACCTGCCACACAGCACTTGCCACCTTCTAACTCAAGCATTTTCTGTTCCTACTCTGCTTATACTATATCATCTGCCTGCAGAGGTGTCCAATCTTTTGGCTTCCCTGGGTCACATAGGAAGAAGAATTGTCTTGAGCCACACAAAAAATACACTAATGACAGCTGATGAGCAGAAAAAAATAGAAAAAAGAAAAAAAATGCATGGATAATTTTCATGATATCTGCCACTACAGATAAGCAAAAAAATCGTCACATTCTAAAGCTGTCCTGGGCCACATGCATCCCGAGAGCTGCAGGTTGGACAAGCTTGCATCTAGAATGTATACACGACAAGGCCAGAAATTTTTCTGTTTTTACTTTAACGATGTTTTCTAAATGCAAAAACAGTCAAATACCTAGCAGACAACAAATGCCACTTGAATGGATGATTACTGTAGTGCGCCCCCCATTCTAAAGGCAATATCTTTATTAATGTAGACTCAGGCCAAATGTCATTTTGTAGCCGCTGTGGAACAATATTATCTCATGTGGATATAAATGCACCAGTGCTTTTCTCACCAGGGCTGCTTTTGTGTCCTCCCTCCCTCCCTGCCTCCTCCCACACCAATCCTCCTGCACACTGCAGCACACAACCATATTTGTCTCTTGAGGAAAGATAACCCAAGGCTTATGGCTCCAATTATCCAACCACATATGAATCTAAATTAGACTCTGCTTTACAAATCCATGAGTTTGGTTTGGAGCCAGCAATAGGATTACTACAACTCAGGGCAGGAAGAAGAGTAGGAGAGAGAGCAGAAGAGGAGTTCCAACAGAAAGTAAACTACAATGAAAAACTCTGGGACCTCTCCTCTCGGGAAGTTTCAGAATCTGCTTCCTTTAAGAAGGTTGGGGAAGCCAGGCATGGTGGCTTACACCTGTAATCCCAGCACTTTGGGAGGCAGAGGCGGGCAGATCACAAGGTCAGGAGATCAAGACCATCCTGGCTAACATGGTGAAATCCCGTCTTTACTAAAAATACAAAAAATTAGCTGGGTATTGTGGCATGTGCCTGTACTCCCAGTTACTAGGGAGGCTGAGACAGGAGAATTGCTTGAACCCGGGAGGTGGAGGTTGCAATGAGTTGAGATTGCACCACTGCACTCCAGCCTGAGTGAGACTCCATCTCAAAAAAAAAAAAAAAAAAAAAAAAAAAAAAAAAAAAAAAAAAAAGATGGAAAATACAATTGAAAGAGACCTGGAAGGAGGGGAAGAGGTGTAGGGGTCTGAAAATTTTTCTTCTGATAACACAGGAACTTCTACGTGTAGGGACCACCCTAGGTGATATCCAAGTCTATGTGATCACAGGTCCTGGTGGGACAAGGTTCTACTGAAGGGCCAAGGACAATGGAGCAGCAAAGATGACCCAGCTGAGCAGTGACCACATAAAGTTCATGGTGGCCTGAGCACCCACTGGGCGCAGCCCCATCTACTCTCCTCTCCTGCAACAAATCAGCACAAGAAACACGTGTACTGTGGAAAGTTCTCATGTCTTCCATTTATTTTGTCTCTCAAATTTCAGGAATCTTCTCCTTTAATTAACCCATCAATCTCTCTTGGAAATAATTTGAAAAAGTAAATTTACACTCAGATTCTAATTTTAATACAGAAGTAAGTTATAGCTCAGTGGACCACAAATTTGAGACAGAGACGGAGACATCCCAGCCCCTTTTCTGGAACAGGAAAGGTGATTGGGGAAGGAATGCAGTTCAGCATGAGGAAGAGGGTCATGGTGGGCACAGGGGTGGGCTGGTCTCTGCACAAAGAGAAGTCAGGGTTCTTGAAGTCACAAAGGGACTTGCCACTCAGTCCCACACAGGGCAGCTGTTTCACACTACAGAAAAATATTCATGAACAAATTCATATCAGTCACAGTGAGGGGTGACACTTTAAACAGCCCATCACATGCTCAATACATTGAAGTCAAAGAAACCTCATAGCACAGCTATGTCCCCTGTTCCCCTCAACAACCCACACACATCAGGCCCCCCGGGGTGTCACATTTACAAGCCGTGAGAGACACATTAGAGCCCTGGGCACTGTCACTGCCTAGAGTAGAACAAAAACAGCACCTGGTCAGAGACCACAGGAGATGTGGCCAGAGGAGGAATTGTGGGGTGGGTGAGCTCCCCCATGGGCTCCCAAACACAAGATCCCAAGGATCTCAGGGATCAGCCTCCTTCATACTTACTTGCAGCCTGAGAGTAGCTCCCTCCTTTTCAATCTGTGGGAAGAAAATGTCCTGTGAGAGGCCAGAAAGGTGGCAGGGCCATGAGGTCCTAGAGGAACCTCCTAGTCTTGGACCCTCGAGAAGTTTCCAGAAATGTGTGACTGCAGACCCAGGGCGGGATCAGGAAAAACAAGGAAAGCAGATGTGGGTCCTCGACCAACTGCCCTCCTAAGGTCTGTCCTTAGCCAGGGACCTTCTCCTGACCTGTGATTACTGGGATCAGGTCCCCATCACTACAATCATCAAGGTAATAAATCTGTCCTTCATTGTCACAGGTGCTTTACAAAAGAGAAGGTGCTGGCACACAGGGCCCAGGCTGGGTAGGCCCATGAGTGTGGATGGTGCTTCCCAGTAACCAGGCAGGGCACACTTCTACCTGGGGCTTGAAACCCCCAGTGGGACAAGAAAACTCAGACCCCACTTGTCACCCCTTCCTTACCTGAGCTCTTCTTTCTCCACAGCACAGCAGCGACCGCAGCTCCAGTGACTACAGCTGCAAGGACAACCAGGCCAGCAACGATACCCATGATGGGGATGGTGGGCAGGGAAGACTGCTCTGGGAAAGGAGGTGAAGGTGAGGGTCTCTGACCCCCAGCCCTCACCACCGACCCTGTTAAAGGTCTTCAGAGAGGCTCCTGCTTTCCCTAACAGACATGATGCCTCCATCTCCCTCCTTACTCCATCTCAGCATGAGGGGCTCCGGCAGCCCCTCATGCTGCACATGGCACGTGTATCTCTGCTCCTCTCCAGAAGGCACCACCACAGCTGCCCACTTCTGGAAGGTTCCATCCCCTGCAGGCCTGGTCTCCACGAGCTCCACGTCCTGGGTCTGGTCCTCCCCATCCCGCTGCCAGGTCAGTATGATCTCCGCAGGGTAGAAGCCCAGGGCCCAGCACCTCAGGGTGGCCTCATAGTCAAAGACAGGGTGGTGGGTCACGTGTGTCTTGGGGGGGTCTGAAAGGAAGAGTCAGAAAATTCAAGCACTTTGCATCTCTCATGGGACACTCCAGCAGCACCTGGATGTGACCATCCTAAGAATGAACCAGATACCTGGGGTGGGGAAGGGAGCACAGAACCCAGACACCAGCCTGGACACGGGCACCTGGGATAATCTCCTATTCCTTGGAAAGTTCTAGTCTCTGAGCGGGGGAGCAGGGACCTCCGGTTCTGACCTGAGTGGAGGCCAAGGGACTCAGAGGAGCTGGAGTCAGACCCCCACACACATTGAGTGTGAGGCAGAGAACAAGGCCTGAGGGGAAAAGTCCTGGTGCCAAGGCTGCTGTGGGGTCAAAGGGAACCCCTGATCAGTCTTCCAGGGATTGTCTTCCCCTCCACTCCCTCAGAGACTTCATCCCTTAATTGTCCCAGAGAGCAGGACGGGCCCTCAGAATCACTCTCTGGTACAGGATCTGGAAACCCAGGAGGATTCCTCTCCCTCAGGACCAGAGGGAGGGCGATATTCTAGTGTTGGTCCCATTTTCCTCCTCTCCTTGTGCTAGGCCAGGCTGAGAGGTCTACAGGAGATCAGGGAGGCGCCCCACTGCCCCTGGTACCCGCGCGCTGCAGCATCTCCTTCCCGTTCTCCAGGTATCTGTGGAGCC
Organism: Homo sapiens; assembly: GCF_000001405.40. Lineage (NCBI taxonomy): Eukaryota > Metazoa > Chordata > Mammalia > Primates > Hominidae > Homo > Homo sapiens. Next base: position 1,091,241 of record NT_167247.2, on the reverse strand, counting down.
ACTCCACGCACGTGCCCTCCAGGTAGGCTCTCCTTTGTTCAGCCACATTGGCCGCCTCACACTTGCGCTTGGAGATCTGAGCCGCAGTGTCCGCTGCGGTCCAGGAGCGCAGGTCCTCGTTCAGGGCGAGGTAATCCTTGCCATCGTAGGCATACTGTTCATACCCGCGGAGGAGGCGTCCGTCGGACCCCAGGTCGCAGCCAATCATCCACTGGAGGGTGTGAGAACCTGGCCCCACCCCCTCGGTCAGCCCCGCCCACCGAGCCTCGCCCTCGCCCGGACCCACCCGCGGGGATTTTGGTAAAGGCGCCTTGGGGTTCTCCCAGGTAGAGGGTCTGGGCGGGTCCCGCGGCCTCGGGGTGGATCCCAGACCCGGAGACTCGGGAGTACCCGGGCCGTCCGTGGGGCATGGAGGTGGGGGTCGTGATCTGCTCCCTGGGCCGGAGTTACTCACTGGCCTCGCTCTGGTTGTAGTAGCCGCGCAGGGTCTGCAGGTTCATTCTGTCAGTCTGTGCGTGGGCCTTGGTGTTCCGTGTCTCCTCTTCCCAATACTCCGGCCCCTCCTGCTCCACCCACGGCGCCCGCGGCTCCATCCTCGGACACGCCGAGTCGCTGTCGAACCGCACGAACTGCGTGTCGTCCACGTAGCCCATGGCGATGAAGCGGGGCTCCCCGCGGCCGGGCCGGGACACGGCGGCGCTGAAATACCTCATGGAGTGGGAGCCTGGGGGCGAGGAGGGGTTGAGACCCGCCCGACCCTCCTCCCGGCGCGGCTGCCGAGTCCTGCGCCCCCGCCAGGCGGGCCCCTCCCTCCTCCGCGCAGGGGCCGTTTCCCTCCTGACCCCGCACTCACCCGCCCAGGTCTCGGTCAGGGTCAGGGCCCCCGAGAGCAGCAGGAAGAGGGTTCGGGGCGCCATGACCACCATCCTTGGCGTCTGGGGAGAATGAGTCCGGGTGGGTGAGCGAGGACTTTAGAACCAGGACCGCGGCGACGCTGATTGGCTTCTCTAAAAACCTGTCACCTAATGGGAGTGAGAACTGGGGCCGCCCGGTGAGTATCCAGGAAGAAGGACCCGACACAGGTTAGGAGAAGGAGGAGAGAATCCCCAACGCGGGGCCTCCCCAACCCATACACCGCCTGTGGGGCCTGAGACCCTGAGAGCCACGCTTGAGGCCCTGGGACTTCGCCCTGACCCCGCTACTCTTGTGCCAAGCGTTCTGTCTCAGTGTCTCCCTGAGTCTTGGCCCAGGAGCTGTCTGAGAAACCAGGGAGAAACCCTCGGCAAGGTCCCTGGCCCTCTCCCTTCACTTTTCATCCCGGAATCCCTGTCCCTGAACTGGACTCCCTGCCTCCCACTCCTTGCCTGTCCTCCTGTACTCTTCTAGAAGAAAAATCACCCCAGGGAGCTTGTTGCCAGAGAGTGAGCTCGCCCTGGGATTGTAGGTGTAAAGACAGGGTTTTTTTTCCCCCTTAAATCTGGAAAAGTTGTGCCTGAGTGCATGAGATAGAATAGAGACCAGTTTGCTTTTTGTTTATTAACTATAGTGGGTAGCATAACCTTGGTAACCCCTGAATGATCAGGAATCTAATCGGTAAAAAATGTGACTTTGGCCTGTTGGTATATAAATGCATCTAAAAGCATTACAACAGGACTCACAAAGCTCTTAAGTTTCACTTTCCCAGACAGTGTATCTGTGACTCCCGCTTGTTTTATTTTAAATTTACCTTCATTCCGTAGCCCTAAGTTTCCGTGTGAGTCCAGGACATCTCCTCAAGACAAAGTACCACACTATGTTACTATATGTTGCAACCAGGAGCCAGCACAAACTTTATTCACCTCACAGTTGTAAGTGTTCAGTGCAGTCACAATGCCCCTCACTAGTGCTCACGCACTGCCTGTTTTTAGGAAGTATCCACATGTGAGTGGAGTGTATATTTTTTAGGAATACTTAGTATTTTTTAAACCTGATTAACATAAAAAACAATTAGTTTCTAGGCAGACCCACATAAGATATTAAAGGCCAACTGCAAAGAACACCCAGCGAGGCTCTGTAGATGGATGTATTAAAATCTATAAAACAATGTGTTTAAACCTAAGAGTTCTGCTGCTTTGGAATTCTTTCCTCTGCTCCTTTTCCTCACCTCCTGCTCCTCCAGCCCTTCCCTCCGTCCCTCTCATCCCTCAGGCCCTCTTCTCCCCTTAATCCCCACCACCCTCTCACTCCTGAACTGTGGCTCTAGCACTGTTCCATGACCTGCTACATGAGTGTTCTCTCTATAGTGGTCCTGCTACTATGAGTCAGAGTGTGTCATTTCTCCACCTAAAACACTCCAGTGGCTCCACCTCATTCTTGTGAAGCTTCTAGAATGTCAGGCACTTGAGCATATGAGGGCATACCTGGTTCATTGTAGGGACTAAATTATTTTTTCTTGGCTGAATGAATGAATTATGAGTGTATTAAATTGCATCACAGAAAATTATAAAATGTAAAACACTAAAAAAGTTAAAAAAGATTTTATTTTATGTAACTAGTGTGCGTATCAATTCATCAGTTCATTCCAGGAGTCTTTTGAGTCTGTGTATGAATTTTATAAGACTGGGTAACAAATTGTCACAAACATTGGCTTTAAACAGCACCCATTTATTGTATTCATTGATTTATTTTTAGAGACAGAGTCTCCCTCTGTCATCCAGGATGAAGTGCAGTCACATGATCATGGCTCACTGCAGCCTCAAATTCCTGGGCTCAAGGGACCCTCCTACCTCAGTCTTCAGAGTAGCTAGGACTGCAGGCAAGTGCCACCATGCCCAGCTAATTAAAAAGAAATGTAGAGACGAGTGTCTCACTATATTATCCTAGCTGGTCTCAAAGTCCTGGCTGCAAGTGTTCCTCCTGTGTCAGCTCCTCAAATGTTAGGATACAGGTGTGCACTACCACGCCTGGCCAAATAACACTCATTTGTTGTTTATAGTTTCTTAATCAGAAATCTGGGCATGATGTGGATGGAATCTCTGTTCCGGTCTTCCTAAACCTGTGTTTTCATTTTGAATCCTCCTTCAGGCTTATACAGAGGTGGCAGAATGCAGTTTCTGGCAGTTGTAAGACTGAGGTCCCTGTTCCTCACTGGCTGTCACTGTAGAGAACAGGGAGGGCTGCACTCAATGCATGGTGCCCACCAGCGTCCTTTCCTACACAGCCCCTTCATTTTCAAAGCCCACAGTGGAGGAAACCCCTTATGCTGAATCCCTCTCACACTGTGAATCTCTATGCTCAGGAAGAACCCAGTCCTTTCAAGGACTCTCCTTATTAGGACAGTCCAAGCAGGATAAACTCAGCCTAAAGTCAACTAATTGAGGCCCTTAATTATATCTGCTAAATCCCTTCACAGCAGCACCTACATTAGAGTTGGTTGAATAACTGGGGGAAGGTGAATGACCAGGAGCTGGTTGTTGGGAGCCATGATAGAATCAGCCCAGGAAGGGCTGGATCTTCCTTTTGTGTTTAATTTGGACACAGTTGGAAATTGAAGTTCAAGTAAAGTGATCATTGTGAATAGTAATAAAATACATCCTCTTCAGCCGTGGAAATTCTCCTTTCCTTTTAAAACTAAGTTACATGTTTAATATCTTATAGTTAATTTAGACCAGGTGTGGTGGCTCACGCCTGCAATCCTAGCACTGTTGAAGGCAGAGGAAGGCAGATTTGACTCCAGAAGTTCAAGATCAGCCTGGGCAACATGGTGAAACCCCCATCTCTACAAAAAAATTAGAAAATTAGCCAGGCATGTTAATTCATGCCTATAGTCCCAGCTACTCAAGAGGCTGAGATCAGAGGATCCCTTGAGCCCAGGAGGTCGACACTGCAGTGCATGGTGATCATGCCACTGCACTCCAGCCTGGGTGACAGAGCAAGACCCTGTCTCAAAAATAGTAATATGATGATGATAAATTTAGAGCAAATGCAAATTAATGTGTAATAATACATCCTCTCTTGTGAAAATGTATTAGTTATTTACTATTGTGTAACAAATTATGTAAAACTTAGCAGCTCAAAACAACAAATATTCATCATCTCCCACAGTTTCTAATGGTCAGGAATCCAGGAGCGGTTTTCCTGAGTGCTTCTGGCTCAGGGCCTCTCACAAGGTTGCAGTCCAGTTGTCAGCCTAGGGCTGCATCGTCTGAGGGCTTCACTGGGGCTAGGGATTCACGTGAAACATGGCTTAGTCACATGGCTGTTGGAAAAGCCTAGTTCCTTGCTGTCTGGTCCCAGGGGGCCTCAGTTCTTAGCCACATGGACCTTCCTGCAGGGCTGCTTATGGCACAGCAGCTGGGTCCCCAAGAGCTCATGATCCCAGAGACAGAGAGAGAGAAGGTGGAAGCCATAGTGAGTTTCACATTCTACACCCAGAGTCACAAACTGTTATGTCAACATTACTCTATCAGTTAGAAGTTGTATTAGTCTGTTCTCACACTGCTATAAAGAAATACCTGAGACTGGGTAATTTATAAAGGCAAGAGGTTTAGTTGACTCACAGTTGTGCATGGCTGAGGAGGCTGCCCCAGGAAACTTACAATCATGGCAGAAGGGGAAGCAAACATGTCATTCTTCACATGGTGGCAGGAGAGAAAAATGCAGAGTGAAGTGGGGAAAATCCCCTTATATGGTACATATACACCATGGAATATTATGCAGCCATAAAAAGGAATGAGATCAAGTCCTTTGCAGGGATATGGATGAAGCTGGAAGCCATTATCCTCAGCAAGCTAACACAGGAACAGGAAACCAAACACCACATGTTCTCACTTGTAACTGGGAGCTGAGCAATGAGAACACATGGACACAGGGAGAGGAACATCACACACTGGAGCCTATTATGGGAGGGCAGTGCTGAGGGGAGCATTAGGAAAAATAGGTTCAACCGCTGACTTCCACAGCTTGGGGGAATCATCCCCATGATTCGATCACCTCCCATGAAGTCCCTCCGCCAATATGTGGGGATTAGAATTCGCATGACAATTCAAAATGAGATTTGGGTGGGAACACAGAGACAGGCCATATCAGAAGTGCATCATTAAGTCCAAGCCACACTTAAGAGAGGGAATTAAGCTGCACCTCTGAAAGAGAGCTGTACTAAAGGACTTACGTATATGTTAAAAGCAAAATTAAAACTATTGTTTCAGGATTTTGTAAATCAAAGACTTCTTTTATCTAATTATTTTTCTTTAATGCTTTAAGCTTATCTTTTAATTTAATTTAATTTAATTTAATTTTAAGTTCCAGGGTACGTGTGCAGGATGTGCAGGTTTGTTACATAGGTAATCGTGTGCCATGGTGGTTGGCTGTACCTATCAACCCATCACCTAGGTGTTAACCCTGGCATTCATTAGCTATTTTTCCTAATGATCCCCCCATCACTGCCCTCCCCGAACAGGCCCCATTGTGTGTTTTTCCTCTCCCTGGTTCCATGTATTCTCATTGCTCAGTTCCCAATTATAAGTGAGAACATGCAGTGTTTGGTTTTCTGTTCCTGTGTGAGTTTGCTGAGGATAATGGCTTCCAGCTTCATTCGTATCTCTGCAAAGGACTTGATCTCATTCCTTTTTATGGTTGCATAATATTCCGTGGTGTATATGTACTATATTTTCTTTATCCAGTTCCTCATTTGTGGGCATTTGGGTTGATTCCATGTCTTTGCTATTGTGAATAGTGCTGCAATGAACATACACATGCATATACCTTTATAATAGAATGATTTATATTCCTTTGGGTATATAACCTTTAATGGGATTGCTGGGTCAAATGGTATTTCTGGTTCTAAATCTTTGAGGAATTGCCACACTGTCTTCCACAATGGTTGAACCAATTTACATTTCCACCAACAGTGTAAAAGCCTTCCTATTTCTCTGCAACCTTGCCAGCATCTGTTGTTTCTTGACTTTTAATAATTGCCATTCTGACTGGCATGAGATGGTATCTCATTGTAGTATTGATTTGCATTTTTCTAATGATCAGTGATGTTTAGCTTTTTTTCTTATGTTTATTGGCCACATGTATGTCTTCTTTTGAGAAGTGTCTGTTTAGGTCCTTTGTCCACTTTTTAATGAAGCTTTTTTTTTGGTGTAAATTTGCTTAAGTTCTTTGTAGCTTCTGAATATGAGACCTTTGTCAGGTGGACAGACTGCAAAAATTTTCTCCCATTCTGTAGGATGTCTGTTCACTCTGATAATAGTTTCTTTCACTCTACAGAAGCTCTTTTGTTTAATTAGATCCCATTTGTCAATTTTTGCTTTTGTGGCAGTTGCTTTTGGCATTTTCATCATAAAATCTTTGCCCATCCCTATGTCCTGATTGGTATTGCCTAGATTTTCTTCCAGGGTTTTTATAGTTTTGGGATTTACATTTAAGTCTTTAATCCATCTTAAGTTAATTTTTGGGCAAGGTGTAAGGAAGGAGTCCAGTTTCAATTTTCTGCAGATTGCTAGCCAGTTCTCCCAGCACCATTTGTTAAATAGGGAATCCTTTGCCCATTGCTTATTTTTGTCGGGCTCATTGAAGATCACAGGGTTTTAGATGTGTGGTCTTATTTCTGAGTTCTCTATTCTGTTCCATTGGTCTATGTGCCTGTTTTTGTACCAGTACCTTGCTGTTTCAGTTACTGTAGCCTTGTAGTATAGTTTTAAGTCAGGTAGCCTCATGCCTCCAGCTTTGTTCTTTTTGCTTAGGATTCTTCTGGCTATAGGAGCTCTTTTTTGGATCCATATGAATTTTAAAATAGTTTTTTTCTAATTCTATGATAAGCTTCACTTTTTAAATTAATGACTAAAAGTTTGAGACATCACAGAGCCTTAGGTGTTGAGGGGAAAACAGTTTGAGGCAGAGAAAGGAGATACAACAGTATCTCTGAGTTTTTCTTGCCAATATCTTTAATAACAGCAATGTTCTCTTCAATGAGTTAACACAGTTGAGAACATAGAATAACTAGATCAAATAGTTCCAAGACTTTAGTGCTATAAAAATAATGCCTTGAAAATAAGTCTTTGTTTTGTCTAAAATGTCTCAAATTTAGGGGAAGTATGCCCCTAGTGCCAGTTTTCTTATTGAAATATCGTCTTCCAAAAAACATTTGCCTACACTTAAAAAAAGAAGTACTGCTCTGTCTCTGGAGTAGCCATCCTTTGTTTCTTTCTCTAATTAACTTGCTTTCACTTAGAAAAATATTGCTTAATCAGATTGCTTTTCATTTACAAAGATGTGAATCTCATACTTCAGTCAACACATCTAGCATGCCAATAACTTCGGTTTGATGCAGTATCACGAAATTGTTAGCTCGAATTGAGAAACTAGTTTTTTCAATAACTGGCTATTCGATCAGCATTCTATAATACACTTAACATCTTTTGTTGTGATATTGAATGATATGTGATAGAAGTGATTTGGACACCACTATGATTCTAAATAGCATGCCATCAGGTGCTTCTGAAGTGGTTTTGTTTGTTTCTTTGTTTTCGCAGTCCTATTGTGTTTTCTATTCATATTGCTATTCCGTCACTGGTTATTCCTTTCTACTCTTTTCTTGTTTCATTTATTTTGATCAATGATGTGCATTTCCAATTCTGTAAAAGTTTAATTCAGTGGTATGTGTGGTAGAATGTAACATCAAATCCTTTGCAAGATGGAATTACCTTGCACATCAGATTGAAGATTGTATACATGAAAATCTACAGAGATGCCAGTGAGCCAAGGATCAAATGACCTATTTGTAGCCAAAGCCATTTTCATGGCCTCGTGGTCCTCTCTGTCACATGGCTCCTTACAATTCTGTGTGGTTTTGTTCCAATGTAAGTAGTTCTTGTTAAGGATGCTTGCAATGAACTTTGGTATTCTTTTCTCTTTCATTTTTATAAAAACCAAGCATATTTTACTTTGAAAAAATCTGTTTAAGGAATTAGGAATTTAAGTCAATTCTTTCAACTCAATGTTTTCAGAACACATCATCAACATCAAGTATTACACATTTATTTTAAAAGTTCCATTTTAAAAGGGAATGGATGATATGTTGTTTGGACTTTAGCCAGCACTGTTGTAAAACACAGAACCTGTAAACTACCCTGGGCTGCTGCCCATTCACATCCCCCAAAAGGAGACTCCATCCTGAGTCTTGTGATTATTATTCCTTTATTTAGATGTGTGGTCTTATTTCTGAGTTCTCTGTTCTGTTCCATTGGTCTATGTGCCTGTTTTTGTACCAGTACCTTGCTGTTTTCATAATATCTATAAAGAAATTATAGAGTTTCTTTAAGGATTTGTGTAATAAGTATAGATATATCCCCAATCCAAATATTAGTTAGTTTTGATGGTTTTTAAGCTTCCAGTACAGCAAATTCCTACTGCATTTATTTTCCCATGATGCACATTACATATAGGAGTTATCTGTGGTGTGGGAGGCTGTCATTCATTCGTTTTTACTGCTGAAGGTTTACATTTTATGGTTATACCATAATTGCACTAGTTTTCTATTGATATATATGTAGCTGATTCCAGTTCTTGCCATAAACATTAGTGTGCCTGTCTCCTGGGCACATAGGCAAGAAAGCCCGCAGAGTGTATGATTAGGAGTGGGATGATTGGATGATATGTTATATGGCCTTTAACCATACTAGATAATAATAATATGATTTCCAAAGTGATTGTGCCAACTTAAACTTATTTATTTATTTATTTATTTATTTATTTATTTATTTATTTTTGAGACGAAGTCTTGCTCTGTTGCCCAGGCTGAACTGCAGTGGTGCTATCTTGGCTGATTGCAACTTCCACCTCCCAGTTCAAGCAATTCTCCTGCCTCAGCCTCCCGAGTAGTTGGGATTACAGGCATGCACCACCACGCCCAGCTAATTTTTGTATTTTTAGTAGAGTCGGGGTATTGGAGGCCGAAAGAATGAGGGTCGTGATCAACTCAGTATACCACTGGAGGCTATATGAGCAAACAGCAAACTGTTCTCATGAAAGCAGGATGTTGGCAAACTGACAAACTGAGTTTGCTGCCAGAAGGAATCACTAGAAGCAAGAAGCCCCCGACCCCTTCTTTTAGAACAGATCTTTTTGTCTTTGTCTTTATTTCTGTGTTCATCCCCCTTCATTATATCCCATAGTAACCGATTGCGACAATGGGGTTTTACCATGTTAGCCAGACTGGTCTTGAACTCCTGACCTCAGGTGGTCCACCCACCTCAGCCTCCCAAAGTGCTGGGATTACAGGCGTGAACCACCACGCCTGGCTTAAACTTTTGAAATAAGTGCGTAATACTTGATGTTGATGATGTGTTCTGAAAACATTGAGTTGAAGGAATTGAGTTGAAAGCCGCTGTCTTGGCTGCAGAATTATAGCAGGCATTTTTATTTAGATTCTGTCAATAACTTTCTGTTGTTTACTTGTTTCTCATATACCGTGGCATTGTACTTTTGACATACAGATTCAGAAAATGCTTACTTATAGCACAATCACATAGGGTTATTTTATATGTTAGGAAATTTTCATAATAAAAAGGAAAAAATGGAGGAAGGGAGGGAAAGAAGGAGGAAGAGAAGAAGGAGTGAAAGAAGAAAAGAAGGAAGGGGAAGGGGAAGAAAAGGGAAGGAAAGCAGAGTAAAAAGGAGGGAAGGCGAGAGGTTGAATGGAAATAGAGAAGAAAGAGAGGGAGGGAGGGACAGAAGGAAGGAGAAAGGGAAGGAACAAAAAAGAAAAGAAACTAAAATAAAGAAAAGAATACACGTTGAGAAACTAGAAACCCTACGTATGGCCAATATTATGAAAATGGAAGGAAATAAAGCAGATGTACGTAACCTGTATAGAATAATGGAAATGTAAGAGGGCTTCATTAGTTATCCATTGCTGCATAACAAACTACCCCCAAATTTAGTGATTAAATCAACAAACATTGACGAACTCAAAAACATAATACAAATACCAGCAAAATGGAGCCAACGCAAGTAGAAGAAGTTGAATAAACAAAAGGATTTTACAAATTGGAATAAGAGGACACTGGTGTGTAGATGAAAATGATTTTGTAGTCCAAATCCTCCAAAAAGCAAGTGCCATCATGGGGTTAAAGTTACAGCATTTTATTAGGGGACATACCTGTCAGACGATATTGTGAGGGAGTCAGGTTACCCTGGGAAAGGCAACAGGCCGAGATGCAAGTGTGACCCCCAGTGATGGACAGAAGGAGAGAAGGTTTACTGGATGTTTCCTAGACCACAGGCAATCTAAGGAGAGTTGAGCAAGGCCATGGAGGAGACCCGGAGCCACCATTGGCCATCAGAGGAGTCCCCTGTCTCCCAGGAATGTCCTGCCTTAGTGTCACTGGTGTGAGCCATCACTGACTGGGAACAGCCCATGGGAAGCAGGGCCTCCATACCAATGCTACTGAGGATGTCAGAGCACAGGAGCAGGGCCTTGGGAGATTACCCAGGAGTGTGACTCAAACCTGCTGCCCAGATGGGTCTGGGTTCTTGGAAATCAAATCCTCTCAGGCTAAATTGCTGGATGATTCTGCTCACACTTACAATGGGGCAAGGGGACCCAGAAGGTTCCCAGGTGGATGTCTGGTTTCCACACACACTTCTGCCCTCATTGTGTGAAAGCAGCCATGCCTCCTCCTGGGGATGAGGGCCTATTACCTGGGCCTGGAGAGAAGGACACTCCTCTTCTCACGATGTGGTCTCTGGGAACATGCTCTCCAAACTTCTCTGGTGACTAAAGTAATGTGTAGTTCAATGGGCTCTCTTTTGTCTACTTTTAAGGGTACCCTCCTTTGGAAACCAGGACCTCCTAACCCGCACAGCCCATTGTTGGGAGATAAAAAAGGCAAAATACCTTAGTGGGTGAATCTAAGAGATTGGACATGGAGCCATACCTGCTTCCACCTTTTGATTTCTGGACCTACATGTTCTTCCATTGAGAACACAGCACCATAGAGACATCTCTGATTCAAACAATGTACCATGTTCTGAAAGATGGCACTTTCAGAGTGCTTCCTCCAGGCTGGCACTGAGTTGTGCCTATAGAAGACCTGTCCAGCATTCCTTGTGGCTGGTAGCTCCTGGGTGGTGCAGATGGTGATAGGATTAGTGGAACCCACAGCCATGGAAACTTTAAAACTTTCCAGGCCAAATGGGTCCTTCAGGCAGAGAATGGGCTAGGAGCACCGCCTAGCCTGCAGATCAGGAATGTCAACAGCACCCGGAGAGTGGTGCTGGCTGAGTGTCAGAGCAAGACAGGAAAACCCACCCATGGAATATGGGCCTATTTCTGTGAAGATGAACCTCTGGCCCTTCCAGGATGGAAGTAGCTAAATGTAGTCACTTGTTACTTAGTGGCTGGTCGCCTAAAGAAATAGCGCCCCACTAGGGCACATCATGGGCTCCAAATGCTGATGAGTTGACATTCAGGAGTGGCAGTAGCTGGATCTACCTTGGTAGGGCTGGGAGAGTCAGTGCTGCTGGCCTCATACATAGCCTCATGCCTGCCACTGTGGTTGCTCCATTCATGCACCCATCCTACCAGGCCTGGGCTGACCCATGGTGAAGGCTGGCTAACTGCCATTTGTCTGTTTGGTAGTTCAGTGCCACTTCAGACTTGGGTGTTTTCTGTGGGTGTCAGCAAGGGATTCAAGCTCAACCCAGGTGGACCATTTTCACCTGTTGATGAATGCTGTTGGGCCTGTGCAATTTATGACTTTGTGGGTCACACAGCCACTTGGAACCACATTGTTGTTTGGTGTCCCATGGTCAAGCATTCTATCAAATCAGGACAAGTAACACTAAATGTTGCTTCTAACAGGGAGCATATGTCTCTGCTGTGGATGACATGATCTTACTCCAGAATCCCAGGCCCTTCATTGTGACTCTCCCACTGGTGCTTGGTTCAGCTCCATCCTGCATCTTTCCCCACCACTGGCACCACCAGCCCCAAGGGGTCTGAGGGATGCTGGCTGCTTGTACCATGGCCTGGATCTGCTGCAAGGTCCTTTCCCGTGTGGGCCCCACATGAAGGTGGCCTCCTCCTATGTCACCTAGAGTGTGGGCCAAAGCAACACACCTAAATGTGGAATGTGGTGTCATCAGAACTCAAAGAGGCTCATCAGGCAGTGTGCTTCCTTCCTTCTGGTGAGGATGCAAGATGAAACAGTTTGTCTTTTACCTTGGAGGGGACACACCTGCATTCCCCTAAACACTTGGCACTTGTTCACCCATAAAACTTCACTTCAGTGGCCACTCTTGAAGCTCTGTAAGGTTTACCTTCACCTTCTGGAGTGTGCTTGTTTTGCCAAGGACTCCAGTGCAGTTTCTACCTGCTGCTCATCCACCCCAGTAAACATGAAATTGTCAATGAAATGAGCTGATTTAATATCCTATAGGATATCCAGTATGTCTAGTGTAGTCTTAAGACTATATACTATAGCGGGCAGAGGAGTTACAATAGCCCTGAGGCAAATGATAAATAAATGTGTTGTGGATCCCACATGAATGTGAATCATTCCATATCCCCTTTCTAATTGGAGTGGAAAGGAATGCACTCACCAAGTCTGCAGCTGCACACTGTGGGCCCAAGGATTTATTAATCTGCTCTACCAGTGATATCCAGACAACATAAAAGCTGCAATTATAACTCCTACTTGGCCATACCTAGAGTAATCTCATTCATTCTTTAGGCATCATCAGGCTCCCTCAGGGACAGTTTGCTGGATTACGTAGAGACGATAGACAGCCCCAACACCACCCCACATCCTTCAGCTCTCTCATGGTGATGTGACCCCCACAGTACTTTCAGTGCCTTCCACAAGACACATGAGGTTGCCTGGTTGCTGTGGTGCCCGCTTTCCACCCCACCCTCCCGTACCCCCATGTCACTTTCATTGTGTCCTGAATAACAGTTTCAAGTTTGTCTATGGCTTCTGCGAGGAGCCAGGACATCCAGATAGAATGGGCCACATGAATCAATTGGTACGTGTTTCTCCTTTCAGGCAGAGTCTCACTCACTTCACACAAGCACAGAGATCCCCATATAGGCAACTAGATTATGAGAAACAAACGCACCCATCCAAACCCAAAGAATGGACTCTGAGACCCAGAGAACAGCAAAAGTGAGAGTGTTAGTGACGGTTTTGCAATATTGGGTGTCTGGAATGCAGGCACACCAGGGAGAGTTTCAACAATTTATTCCCTAGTGCGCAACTCCCTCCCCCAGTTGCTCATTAGCTGAGTACCAAGGACTTACGATCTTCCCGGATGTCACCTATTGGTAGTTTAAGACTTCAAGTATGTTCCTTAGGGTTTTTTTTTTTTTTTTTGCTGCATTTTGTTGCAGCCCATAATGCATTGTGATTGTCTCAGGACTCTTTAAACATTTGACTTATGTCCCTAATGGCTGCACTTAGTTGATAAGAAAGGGTACAATTATCTATGTTGCAAGCTAGCCTAAACTACATTTTTTGGTGAGGTGGGGAAGGGGTCGTTGAGGGGGCCCCAACCGATAGGTGCCTGGCCAGTGCATGAAAGGGAAAGCAAGAAGTAGGGGGGATGGTGGCTTAGTACATTTTCCTTCTTTATCTCTTTATGACCATGTGGCCTGCTTAAACCTATACTAAGGCACATAGAATTGAAAATGAACCATCACATGTAGGTTATTTTTTACACCCTTAAGTCCTGCCCAAGCCAGGGCTGGGCCAAGGCCCTCGAACATCCAGCTGTGGCCTCCTCCTGCTGCAGGTGAGGAGTGGGCAGCAGGGAGGGCCGTGGTGCCTGCTTTGTCCCCATCCCGGTCTCTGTCTCTCAGGCTTACCAGGTCGCATCCAGGTGGGTGAGTTGGGAATTGCGTGCTGATTGCTGAGGGCCTGGATGATCACTATCTCAGAGGGAGCAAATAGTAAAGGCAGATGTGATCTAGGGAGGGCTAGAAACTGGAGAGGAATCCAAGGAGAGGTGGTGCCTCTAGTCCCTTCCTCTCTGCATCCCCCTCCCCTGTTTCTCCAGCCATCAGGAGGACATCAAGAAAAAGACCCACGAGGCCCAGAATGAGGGCCCCCATGTGTACAGCCCCTTTGAGGTCCCCTTGTAACAGGGAGAGTCCTGAGTGCACATGGCCATCCTCTGTCCACTTTGCAGCTCCCCATATGCCTCATCTGGGAGCTGTCTCAGGGGTGTCACGTCCTCTGGGTCCCTCGAGACCGTGCTTTTTCTGGGTTCCCACCATATGGCCCCTGTCTCCCTGTGTTTCCTTGCAGATAATATGGACCAGTTGATAAGCAGATGTCCCTGGGCTATTTGGGGAGTGGGGACCAGCCCTCTGTCAGGGCAGCTGTGGTCCCTGTTTTCATCCCATGTCCAGGTGTTACTTTTTCCAGCCCCCGAGGGTCATAGTACCCAGTGGGCTGTTTTTTGGGCTTTGTTCTGTGCTCTGTGGCCTCACCTTGCCTTTCCTGAGCCAATGTTTTTGTTCTTAGTGTAGTCGCTGCCTGGTAAGTTTACAATAAGAGACAGTCAGAATCATTTCCCCCACAGTCAGGTTGTTTGAGGGGAGAGGAAAAGAGCAAGCAGAAAGTTTTGAGTTTCTGCAAAGACAGAGGCAGTGCAGGGGACAGTGAGAGTCTGGGGTGTCCAGGAAACCCGAGTCTTTCTGCCATTTCTCCACTTCCGTGTGTCTGGCCAGTGAGGTGGTGGTGACTCATCCTTGAACCTAATTGCACAGTTAGTTGGCCACTCAGGCCTGGGCAGATGGGACGGTTCATCCCCTGCCCTGCAGCAAGAGGGCCCCGTCCAGGAGGCAACCACAGCACGGGCAGTGCAGGTCTGTGGTTGCTCCTGCTCTCACCTGCGGTGTCTCCTATAGAGGGATTGTCAGTTCTGGTTCCCTGTAGGCAGGAAAGGTTTTCTCGTAGGTCACTGGGACATTGGCCAGAAAAAGGCATGAAAATTACATGTTAGTTTCTCAAAATTCCTGCTTTAAGTATTGGTGTCCATCAACATAATTTCAGCTGGATAATCTTAATAGGATTTCCCCCAATACTGATGTTGTAAAGGATGTTGAATAGAACAGGAAGTCAAATTTGGGGCTTCGTTTCTCAGAGGGTCCATGTGGGAGACAGTGCCTGTGGCAGTGGCAATCCCCAGGTGCAGAGGGTGCGTAGAGGCAGCCTCAGGATGAGGGGTCTGAAGAAACCCCCTACTCCACAGGCGAAGAAGATCCCCTGTGAGCTGCGATGGCAGTGGCCTGGGTGGAATCCCTGTTAGGAATGGGACAGGAAGGGCTTGCAGCCTCACCAAGCAGCAGCCCTGGGGTGGAGCTGCATTTCCAGGGTTGAGTGGACAGGCAGGAGCAAGCACAGCCCAAATGCAGGTTATGGGGAGGGCAGGCTGGGCCTCCTTGAGCAAGGGGGTCCCCAGCATCAGGTCAGGTGCAGACTCCATGGCAGCCACATATTTCCATGCCGGGCCTGTGAGCCCCAGGGCTTCCTGATAGGATCTCTTGTTAGGAGCTGTCTGCTCAGAGCTGGGAGGGGAGGAACAGTGAGCTGCTGGTGGAGGGCAGAACCCACAGTGTGCAGGGCCTGCCCTGGTATGCAGGTGCCTCTGCAGGTGAAGAGGGCCTGGGGTCTCAGGAAGAGAAGGACTGTGTGTGACTTGGCCCAGACCTGGAAGGACATGGAGACAGGGCCAGGGCCTCTCTTTGGGGAGGCCTCTCACTGTGTCAGGGCTGGTCAGGCTTGAGAGGAGGAGGAAAGGGCACTGAGTTTCCTCTTGGGTCTTGTTCCTTAGTCCTGGGTCCTTTCACTCACTGCACAATGGATGGTGGACACAGGGCAGGTGCTGATGTTGATGGAGTCACGGGAGGGGACTGGCAGGGGCTGGAAAAGTGCGATGGGAGGGAGAAAAAAGTGGGGACGTCATCTTCCGTCAGAGAAAGGGTAAATCTGATTTGGGAGTGACTGAGGAGGGAGAACTCCTCAGGGAATAAAAAGCAGCACTCTGCACCCAGGGGAGCATTTATTGGTTTCTCTCTTTTTTCCAGAGCGCGTGAGCCTGCAAGGCCTGGGTCAACACCTGGTTGGGACAGGAGACCACCAGGGCAGTGCACAGCTGAGATCTCAGTCTCTGGTGTCAGCTCCTGGGTTCGCTGGCTCCACTGAGGGCAACTAGACTCTGCAGCCAGGCGATCTGGATTCAACTCCTTGCCTAGGCCTCACCAGCATGTTCTCTCTTTGTGCCTCATTTTCCTCATCTATGACATGGGGAAACTACGAGCATTTATTTCTTGTGGTTGGATGAATGAAAAGGGTTAGTATATATGGGGTATTTGCAGCTGTGCCATATTATTTTTGTTATTTTGTTATTTTATTATATTTTGATATATTACATATGCAGTAATTGTATTATTATAGGTGAGCATTATGAGTGAGTGTCCTGCTGATGGCTCCTTGGTCCTGGCCCAGCACCAGCTTTCCTGGCACCTTGAGGTCCTGTCATCTCTGTCATGCTCTCCTGCATTACCCCATTCTACTCTGTCTTCATATTTTATACTATAGATATTTAACTCTTAAATAGACATTTCTGGTCTGCGTTTTATTTCAAGTGTCTGGGAAGGGATAGTGTGAGGTTCAGGAGAGAAGGAGAGGTCTGTCTCCATGCTTTGACACAGCATAAAGAAACCTTCCCTCCTCCCCCACATCTCCCCGCCAGTTCTCAGTGAGGGACAGATTCACAGCAACACCGAAAGGGCTGGGAAGGGATGGGGGGACATTTGCAGCCAGTGTTCAGGGGCTGACCCTGTGGGGCAACATCTTCCCTGCAGAGTTAGAGCCCACATATGATGATGTAGAGCTGAAGGGTGATATCAGGGAGGGGACGGAGAGTGCTTTGTGGTTTCCTGATTACGAAGAGTAGAGGTCAGTCAGCTTCTGGGGTGAAGTGACTGCTGGGGAGATTGGATTGAATTAATGAAGAATAAGTGAGCTGGGATTGAGGATGAGTAAAGCAAGCATCAGCATCTCCCGCCATCAGTTCAGACTGATTGGGGAGGTGGGATAGTTCCTGACCTTGTTGTGTGGTTCCTCCTAACTTCCTGGTCTTGGGGACACAGATGGGTGGTGCTGTTCTTGGTCAGGGCAGCCTCAGCTCCATCCAGATAAAGCAGTGGTGGCAGAGAGAGTTAGGGGAGCACCTGTGAAACAGACCAAGGCAGGGATGGGAGCCTTCTGTGCAGCCAGAGTGGATGCAGGACCTGCCTGGATGCAAGAGAAGGATGAGGGACCCTAGCTGGGTCCTGTTCCCTGACTCCCTGTGTTCACAGGGCAACCAGTAAGGGAGCTGGGGTAGGGAATTCATTCATAAGCTATCTATCTAGAGATGTGTTTATAGACATATTATTTCATGTTTGTATTCAGGTTTGTTGTCACAGACACATTTATCCATGTGTGTTTTATGTTTAAGTTACTTTGGAATAGCTCAGTCACAAAATCTTAATCTCTTAATTTGTGCTGCCTCTCTACACGGAAACACACACACAGGTGGACACACACACACAGGCACACACACACATTCACACACATGCTATACAAACATGTCTACCTGTATCTATAAAGAAACATGTTATGTTATTTTATTTTTTATTTCTTAGATTCATATATATTCATGAGGCACAAGTGCAATTTTGCTACATTGCTATATTGGTTGTGGTAAAGTCAGGGCCTTCAGAGCATCCAGCACTGGAGACAAGCACATTGTACCTATCAAGAAACCCCTCTATTATACACCAACTGCCAACCCCCTTACCCTTCTGGGTCTCCATGGTCCATCATTTCACACTCTCCTTTTATGTATATAAAGAGATATTAACCAAATACGGCAGAGTGGTAGCTTGAATTTTACTGCACCATTCTTTCAGCTTCTTTGCACATTTGAAAATTTATACAGTTATAAGTTGGAAGAATGAGGGAAAATAGAGAGCAAGACAGTGCTGAATAGGAATAGGCTAGGGGTTGTGTCCCACTAGGAACCATAATTGATCTTTGCCATTTTGAAAGTGTGTCCCCTGAGCAGCCTTCAGAGAGTCCTGGAGGCAGACTTGTTTTCACAGTAATACCAAGATGCCATCTGCCTGTTTCATTGTGTTGACTTTTCCATAGTGCTGCAAATGCCAAGGTCGGTAACACACCCAGCACCTTAGCAGAACCAGGCAGTGGCTCCAAACTGCAGTCCCATTTAAGAGTGTCTTTGATGGAGCAGTAAAAAATTTATGTGGGTTAAAGTTTGATCCTTGAGTATACGTGTTTAATATTCTTTGTGAGAAAATGGGAAATATGCATAAAACACTTACTGCACAGAGAAGCAGGATGGTAGCCTTGAGAAAGGGCACTTGTGTGACTCAGTTATTATTTCAACCAGCAGATCTCACTCACCTACGGAAAGACAGTTGTATTAATTCCTGTTTGGGGGTATCATGAATAAAGCTGGAAGAGTATTTGTGCACAGGATTTTCGTGAACATAAAGTATTCCCTCGTTTGAAATAAGTGCCTAGGAGGGCAATTGCTAGTCATAAGGTAAATTGCATGTTCGGTTTGAAGAAAACTGCAATACTCATTTCCAGAGCGGCTGTACCATTTTAAAATACATCCCTACCAGCAATATAAGAGTGTCCCAGTTCCTCTGCGTCCTTGCCAGCATCTGTTGCTACCTTTATTTTGTATTTCAGCCATTCTCATCACTGTGGTTTTAATTTGTATTTTCCTACTGGATAATGATGTTGAGCACCTATTCATCTGCTTATTAGCCCAGTATTTATCCTCTTCAGTGAAATTTGTCTGTTCGTGTCTTGCTCATTGCCTGTTTTGTATTTGGATTTCATTTTTATTGTTGAGTTTTAAAATTTCTTCATATATTCTGAATACAGTCTTTACAGAATATGTTGCCTGCAAATATCTTCTCTCATTCTGTAGCTTGTCTTTTTATGCTCTTCATAGGTCTCTCACAGAACAACAGTTTTTAGTGTTGATAAGATCCAATTTATTAACTTTTATGGATCATACTTTTGGTGTTATGTCTAAGAACTCTTTGTCCAGTCTTAGCTCTGATGACTTTTTCTTAAAAGGTTTGTAATTTAAAAATTTAAATTTATTATTTATTTTAGAAAAAAAATTCTTGCCTAGGCTGGCCTTGAACTCCTGGGCTCAAGGGATCCTCCCACCTCAGCTTCCTGAGTAGCTGAGAGTACAGGCCTGTGATACCACACCTGGCTCAATGTTTGCCATTTTAACTCTGTGCTTTACATGAAAGCTTGTGACTCATTTTGAGTTATTTTTGTATGAAGCATGAGGTTTTGGCTCAGGTTATTTTTTTTCCACTGTGGTTGTCCAGTTGTTCCATCACCATTTGATGGGAAAGCTCTCCTTCCTTCATTGAATTGCTTTTGTGCTTTTGTAAAAGTCAGTTGAGCATGTTTTGCTCATTTTTAGTTGAGTTGCTCATCTTCTTACATTGAGTTTAAGAACTTTTCACATATTCTGGATACATGTTCTTCATCACAGATGTAATTTGTGATAAATTGTGAAATATTTTCTCTCAATCTACGGCTTGTCTTCTCATTTTCTCAATATTGTCTTTTGGAGCACTTAAGTTTTAAATTTTAACTAAGCCCAATTTGTCTCTCACTTTTTTTTCATCTGTAGATCATGTTTTTTGTATTTTATGTAAGAATCTTTTGCCTAACTACTCAATGTCACAAAAATTTTCTCCTATATTTTCTTTTAGAAATTTTATGGTTTTAACTTATAAATTTTAGCTGTTTAGGTCTCTAATTTGTTTGAGCTTATATTTTATATGGCGATAAGTGTCACATCATATTACCTATGCAACTTCATTGAAGATCAATTGACAAAAAAATGTAAGAATGTCTTTCTAGATTCTCACTTCTGTTCATTAATCTCTGTGTCTCTCGCTTTCACACTGTCTGGATTATTGTAGTTTTATATGACATTCCATTTTTTTTCAAATTTGCGTTGGCTTTTCTGCATCCTCTGCATTTTCACATACATTTTTAGGATTAAATTGTCAATTTTCCATAAAATGCCTGCTGGGGTTTTGATAGAGATTGTACTGAACCTATAGATCTCTTGGTGGAGAATTGTCATCTTAACAATATTATTGAGCTTTCCAACCGCATCTCTCCATGAATTTAGACCTTTAATTTCTCTCAGTAATGTTTTGTAGTTTTCAACAAACTCTGCTGTCTTCCTAAATTTATTCCTATTTCTCTCTTTTTGTAACTACTGTGATAGGAAAGTTTAGATTTTAATTGCTTGTATAGAGAAATATGTTAATAATTTTTAATTTGATTTTATATCCTATGGGAGCTTCTGGATTCATTTTTTAGTGCTAGCAGGCTTTTATCTGCTTGTGAATTCTACAGACAAGGTCATGTTATCTGTGAATAGAGTTTTATGTTTTCCTTTTTATCTGGATGCCTTTAACTTTTAATTATTTGCCTTATTGCACCAGCTGCAATCTCCAGTACAATGTTAAGTAGAAGTGTTGGATGGGACATCCTTGCATTGATCTCCATCTTAGGAGAAAAGCATTCAGTCTTTCTTCAGCAAGCATGATTTTAGTTGTGGGTTTTTTATAGATGCCCTTTATCAGGGTGAGGAAGGTCCCCTCCATTCCTATTTTGTTGAAACTTATGAACATGAGTGGTGTTAACATTTTTGTCAACTGTTTCTTCTGTATCTTTTGAGATAATTATGTCTTTTATTCCCTTACTACAGTGCATTCCATTAATTGATTTCTAATTGTTAATCCAGCCATATATTCCTGGGATGAATCCCACTGGTCATGGAATGTAATCCTTTTTTACGTGGCTTTCTATTGTCTGCCAATGTTTGTTAAGGATGTTTTCATTTATGTTTATTGGTGACACTGGTCTATGGTATTCTTTTCTTGTCAGTCTTGCTCTGACTTTGATATTAGGGTAATGTCAGTTCTGTAAATGAGCTAGAAAGTCTTGCCTCCTCTCTTCTTGTCTGAAAGAGCTTTTGAAATATTTGATAGAATTCACCAGTGAAGATATCTGGGCTTTGGCATTTCTTTGTGAGAAGGTTTTAAAATTACTGTCTTAGTGTACAGTTCTCTTCAGATTTTCTATTTATTTTTGAGTCAGTTTCAGCAATTTCTATCTTTGTATAAATCTGTCCATTTTATCTAAGTGGTCTAACTGATTGGCTTCAGGTTTTTCAGAGTATTAACTTATAATGTTTTTTAACTTCTAAAGGGTCATTAGTGATACTCTCTCTTGTGTTCACAATTTTGGTAATTTATCTCATTTCTCATACTGTCTGTTTTGACTTTTGGTCAAGAAAACAGACAGAGGCAGCTCTGTGACAGATTCTGTAGTGGGAAGCTTTGATCATTCATAGCTGGCAAGCCAGACTAATGCCAGCAACCCCAAAGGAGCTGCCAATGGATCTTGACAGGGAAGTCACTGACTCTGGATTGGGCTATGATCAACCAGGGGTAGATGTCAATGCTTCAAAGGCTATACAAGAACCAGAAAAATGGAGATTACACCAATTTGGACTGTTGAGTCACATTTCTTTACACAAGAAAACACACTTTACAGCCTTAAAAAGCCAACAGTGCACAGGGAAATGTACTATTCAGGGGAAACTTTGATAGAATATTGAAATGGCTGACCAGGCGCGGTGGCTCATGCCTGTAATCCCAGCACTTTTGGTGGCCGAGGCGGGCGGATCACCTGAGTTTAGGAGTTTGAGACTATCCTGGCCAATATGGTGAAACCCCGTCTCTACTGAAAATACAAAAATTAGCTGCGTGTGGTGGTGGGCGCCTGTATTACCAGCTACTCGGGAGGCTGAGACAGTAGAATTGCTTGAACCTGGGAGGCAGAGGTTGCATGAGCCGAGATCATACTACTGCACTCCAGCCTGGGCGACAGAGTGAGACTCCATCTCAAAAAAAAAAAGAAAAAGAAATAGTCAGTTGAAACATTGGTTGTCTAATTGTCTAAAAACTGCCAATATAATTGTTGGGCAATATAAACATGAAGGACTGGCTTTTATATCTTCATGAATGTGCTTACTGTCAACATGGGTGGAGCTGCGAAACTGACTCCACTAGGTAGCTTCCTCTCTTTTTCCTGATGGATCAGGGTGATGCTGTTATGACTGTACATACAATTCTTCTTAAGGGGAGGATGCTGGAATAATGACTACACTTCATTTCTTATTTCTTTTTTTACACAGGGTGCAGTGGTACCAGGAACAGGGATGCAAATCGAACTGCCAGAAACAGGAATTATCCCTAAGGAAAAAACCATAACTATATTTTTATACCTTTATGTAAGAATTCCCAAGCAAATCAAGGATTGCGCTGTGCCTTCATTTCATCTGGCAAAGTCGGGATTAACTGTAAGTAGAGCTACGTAGACTGGTGGTCAGATAGCCTGCACTAGTTCCTAACCTATGTAACCTACTGTCTATGATCAAGAGTAGATTAAGAGAAGACATGGTAGAATACTATTGCTGCATGCAGTCTAGGCCAGCACAGCAGCCAAACCTAATGTCACTTCTAGAACTGGAAAAGACTGATATAAAGGGACAGAAGGAGGAATAGTGGCTGAGGGTAGGTGAATAAATCAAAGGGTTATGTAATGAGGAAAATTCAATATTAGCTTATCTCCTCAAAAGTGGTGTGAGCAAGAGATGTTGTCTCTTAGGTCAACTATACTGGATGCCTAAAAGGGTGAAGCTGTATGTCCCTGAGACCATTCTTGTTTTTGGAACCTGATAAGATTGAATGGTGTCTGCAAAGCTGAGTGATGTCATTCTGGGAGACATATTCATACAAGAGGATGATAAACTGGCCTAATTTTGAATGACCGAATGAGACTTGGATAATATGCCAATGCTTCTTTACTGTTATAATCCTTTTCGTATGAAAAATATGTGGTCAAAGAAAAGGGGGTAATATGAGTTATCACAAAAACATTTAGTTTTGTCCCTGGTTTCTCCTAAAAACCTTAGAATCTCTTGAGTGATTAGAGTGTCTTTAGAATACTGAGGAAAGGACTCTTGGCTGAGTGGATCCTGGATACCTTGAGAATGGGGGCTGGCTGCCACAGACACATACCTATGATGAGAGGGTTGTCTTATTCCGTTTTGTGTTGCTATAAAGAAATGTCTGAGACTGACTAATTTATATAAACAAGGTTCATTTGGCTCAGGATTCTGATGTCTGGAAATGTTTGAGCATTTAGCGAGGGCCTCAGGCTGCTTCCACTCATGGCAGAAGGCAAAGGGGAGCTGGTATGTGCAAAAGTCACGTGGTAAGAGAGGAACAGAGGGAGTAGGAAGGTGCGAGACTCTTTTAACAACTAGCTCTTTTGGAAACTAATAGGGCAACAATTCATTGACTCCCGAGAGAGGGCAGTATCTCTCTGTTCATAAAAGATTGGCCCCCAAGACCCAAACGCCACCCATTAGGCCCTAAGTCCAACATTGGGGATCAGATTTTAACATGAGGTATCTGGGGATAAATATTTATATCATTGCATCCTGTCCCTAGCCAGCCAAAGCTCACATTCTTCTCACATTGCAAAAGACAATAATCTTCTCCCAATTGTCCAAAATGTGTTGGGTTGATCCAGCATCAACTCTAAATTCCAAAGTCTCATCTGAGACTCAAGGTAAGTTCTTATAGCTGTGCACCTGTAAAATTAAAAAAAGTTATTTACTTCTAAAATATTAATACAACAGTGGTAGAGACATTTCCTATACATTTCCATTCCAAAAGAAATAAATGGACCAAAAGAAATGAATGCAGTGTCCTCACAAGGTTGAAACTCATCATGGCAGACATTAAAACTTAAAGCTCTAAAATAATCTCCTTTGACTCTATATCTTGAACCCTGAGCACACTGGCTGGTGCAAGCAATGGACTCACAATGCCATCTTCAGCCTCATATCCGTGGCTTTGGTGAACATAATCCATATAGCTGCTCTCATGGGTGAACATTGAATGCTTATGGCTTTTCCAGGCTGAGCTTGCATATTGCCAGTGGCTCTATGATTTAGTAGTCTTGGCAGGGGTCCTGTTCCTGCAGCTCCACTAGGAATTGTCCTGGATATTAAATTTCCCCTTTAAATATCAGTTCCAGTTTCAGGTCATGTCTTTGCTCACACATATGTGCATAGGCTATTACAAGCAGGCAGGCCAAATCTGGAATGCTATGCTGCTTAGAAATTTCTTCCACCAGATACCCTTATACATCACTCTCAAGTTCAAAGTTCTACAGATCCCTAGGGAGGGGGAACAATGCCTCCAAGTTCTTTGCCAATGCATAACAAAAGTGACCTTTCCTCTAGGTCCCAATAAATTCCTCATCTCCATGTGAGACCTTATCAGCCTGGACTCTATTGTCCATATCACTATCAGCATTTTGGTCACAACAGCTTAACAAATCTCTAGGAAGTTGCAAATTTTCCCCCATTTTCTTGTCTTCTGAACTCTCCAAACTCTTCCAACCTCTGCCTGTTACCCAGTTCCAAAGCTGTTTCCACATTTTCAAGAATTTTTATAGTAATACCCAACTCCTGGTACCGATTTTCTGAATTAGTTCATTCTCACACTTTTATAAAGAAATACCTGAGACTGGGTAATTTATAAAGAAAATAGGTTTCTTTCTTTCTCCTCCCACCATCCAAGATGCCAAAAGGAAAGAAGGCCAAGGAGAAGAAGGTGGCTCCAGCCCCTGCTGTCGTGAAGAAGCAGGAGGCCAAGAAAGTGGTAAATCCCTTGTTTGAGAAAAGGCCTAAGAATTTTGGCACTGGACAGGATATCCAGCCCAAAAGAGACCTCACCCACTTTGTGAAATGGCCCTGCTATATCAGGTTGCAGCAGCAGAGAACCATCCTCTATAAGTGGCTGAAAGTGCCTCCTGAGATTAACCAGTTCACCCAGGCACCAGACAGCCAAACAGCTACTCTGCTGCTTAAGCTGGCCCACAATACAGACCAGAGACAAACCAAGAGAAGAAGCAGAGGCTGTTGGCCCGGGCCAAGAAGAAAGCTGCTGGCAAAGGGGACATTCCCCACTAAGAGTCCACCTGTCCTTCGAGCAGGAGTTAACACCATCACCACCTTGGTGGAGAACAAGAAAGCTCAGCTGGTGGTGATAGCACATGATGTAGATCCCATCAAGCTGGTTGTCTTCTTGCCTGTCCTGTGTCATAAAATGGGGTCCCTTACTGCATTATCAAAGGGAAGGCAAGACTGGGACATCTAGTCCATAGGAAGACCTGCACCACTGTCACCTTCACACAGGTTAACTCGGAAGACAAAGGTGCTTTGGCTAAGCTGGTGGGAGTTCTCAGGACCAATTACAATGACAGATACGATGAGATCCGCCATCACTGGGGAGACAGTGTCCTGGGTCTCAAGTATGTGGTTTGCATTGCCAAGCTCAAAAAGGCAAAGGGTAAAGAACATGCCACTAAATTGGGTGAAATGTATGCTGTTGAGTTTTCTGTATGTAAAAATAATTAAAATAATATAAATTTTCCTTCAAAAAACAAAAACAAAACAAAAACAGAAAAGAGGTTTAAATTGGGTCATGGTTCTGCAGGCTATACAGAAAGTATGATTCTGGCATCTGCTCATCTTATGAGAGGGCCTCAGGGAACTTTCGATTATGCTGGAAGGCTAAGGGGAAGCAGACATTACTTACATGCCTGGAGCAGGAGGGAGAGAGAGCAGGGAGGTGACACAGATTTTTAAACACCAGATCTTATGAGAATTATCACAAGAATAGCACCAAAGAGATGGTTCTAAACCGTTCATGAAGGATCCATCCTCATGAGCCGATCACCTGCCACCAGACACCACCTCCAAAATTAGGGATTACAATTGAACATGAGATTTGGGTGGGGACACAGATCCAAACAATATCAGGGGTCATGGTGGACATGAGGATGGGCTGGTCTCCCATTTCTTACCTGTTACTGTAGACATAGACACATTCAGACCCTTTGGCAGAAAGAGAAGCCAGAGGCTCTTAATGTCACAAAGAGGAGGCATGAACAAATCTTGCATCTCAGTCCCTCACAAGGCAATCTTAGAAAAAACATAGTCATAAACTAATCCAGGTCAGTCACAGTAAGTTGTGACACTGAACAGCCCACCACACCTTGAAAAATTCCAAATCAAAGAATCTCCAGAGCTTAGTTGTGTCCCCTCTGCCCAACTCCTCTTTCACTTCAGGCCCTCTAAGGTGTCACTTTTACAAGCCTTGAGAGACACATCAGAGCCCTGGGTACTGTTCCTGTTTGGGGTGGAACAAAAACAAAATCTGGTCAGAGCCCACAGGTGATGTGACTAAAGGAGGAATTTTGGGGTGGCTGAGCTCCCCCATGGGCTCCTGTCTACACTATCCCAAGGATCTCAGGGATCACTCTTCCCACCCCTACCACACTTACATGAAGCCTGAGCATAACTGCCTCCTTTTCCATCTGTGGAAAGAAAACAAACTGTGAGAGGCCAGGGAGGAGGCAGGGCATGAGATCCTAGAGGAGTTTCCAGAACTGTGACTACAGACCCAGGTCAGGATCAGAAAACCCAAGGGAAGAGGATGTGTTGAGGCTGGACCAATTGTCCTCCTGAGGTCTGTCCTCAGCAGGGACCTTCCCCTGACCTGTGACTGCTGGGAGTCAGGTTCCCATGACCACAATCAAGGTGATAAATTTGTCCTTCATTTTCACAAGTGCTTTACAAAAGAGTAAGCGTTGATAGACAGGGCCTCTGAACAGGGTAAATGTGTGTGGAGATGGTGCCTCACAACTAGGCAAGATATGAGCCTACTCCTACCTGGGGCTTGAAATCCACCAATGGAAGAAGGAAACTCAGAGCTCACCCCTTTCCTACCTGGGATCTTATTCCTCCACATCACAGCAGCGACCACAGCTACAGTGATTACAGCAACTAGAAGAACCAGGCCAGCAATGATGCCCACAACGGGGATGATGGGCTGGGAAGACAGCTCTAAGAAAGGAGGTGAACGTGAGGGGCCCTGACCCCCAGGCCTCAGCCCTGACCCTGCTTAAAGGCTCCAGAAGGACTTCTGCTTTGCCTGAGAAGAGACATGACCCCTCATTCGTCTCCTTACCCCATCTTAGTGTGAGGGGCTCAGGCAACCCCTCGTGCTGCACATGGCATGTGTACCTCTGCTTCTCTCCAGAAGACACCACTGCAGCTGCCCACTTCTGGAAGGTTCTGTACCCTGCAAGTCTGGTCTCCACAAACTCTGCATCCTGAATTTGGTCCTCCCCATCCCGCTCCTGGGTCAGTGTGATCTCCAGAGGGTAGAAGCCCAGGGCCCAGCACCTCAGCGTGGCCTCATAGTTGGAGATGGGGTGGAGGGTTACCTGTGCCTTCAGGGGATCTGAGGGCAAGAGGTAGAAAATTCAGGCACTTTGCATTCCTCATGAGACACAGCACCCATGTGACCATCCTGAGAATGGATGGGACATCTGGGGTGGGGAAGGGAGCACAGAACCCAGACAACATTCTGGACACAGGCACCTGGGATAATCTCTTATTCCTTGGAAAGTTCTAGTGTCTGAGGCGGAAACAGAGATTTCTGGTCCTGACCTGAGTGGAGGCCGAGGGACTCAGAAGAGCTGGAATCAGACCCCCACACACATTGAGTATGAGGCAGAGAACAAGGCCTGAGAGGAAAATTCCTGGTGCCCAAGGCTGCTGGGGGGTCAAAGGGGACCGCGTATCAGTATTCCAGGGATTGTCTTCCCCTCCTTTCCCGCAGAGACTTCATCCGTTAATTGTCCCAGAGTGCAGGGCGGGCCCTCAGTCACTCTCTGGTATAGGATTTAGAAACCCAGGAGGACTCTTCTGCCTCAGGACAAGAGGGAGAGGGATATTTTAGCGTTGGTCCCATTTTCCTCCCCTTCTTTTGGAAGGTGGCTCAGGGATATCTGCAGGAGATCAGGGAGGCGACCCGTGGCCTCTGGTACCTGCGCATTGCAGCCTCTCCTTCTCATTCTTAAGGCCTTTGCTGAGCCACTCCGCCCACCTTCCCGGCAGGTAGGTTTTGAGCAGCTCTGCATGTTCCTCCTCCAGAACATCTGAGCCGCCTTTTCCGCTGCGGTCCAAGAGAGCAGTTCCTGGTTTAGGACGAGGTAACTGGCGCCATCGTAGGGTATGTTCATCCCCGCGCGAAGAGGCTCCGGTCCGGGTCCAGGTCGCAGCTGTGTATCCACTGGAGGTGGGAGACCCTGTCCCCAAGCCCGCGGTCAGCCTCAGCCACTGAGCTCCTCCTCTGCCCCGATCAATCCCCCGGGGATTTGGGCCTGAACTGAAAATGGAATCGGGTATAGGCACCTGGGGTTCTTGTGTCGAGGGTCTCCACGAGTCCCGCAGCCTCGGCGTGGGTCTCCGATTGTGCTACAGTGGGTAGCACAATCTTGGTAGCCCCTGAATGGTCACGAATCTAATTTGTAAAAGAGATGATTTTTGGCCCCATTATATATAAATATGTCTAAACGCATTGCAATTAGACTCACAAAGTGAAGTTTTACTTTCCCAGACTGTGTATCTGTGACTCTGGTCTGTTGTATTTTTACAGTATCTTTATTTCATAGCTCTGAGTTTGTGTGTGCGAGTCCAGGACATCTCAATACAAAGCACAATGTATTACCGTATATTGCAACCAGGAGCCTGTACAGAATTTAATTACCTCAGAATTGCAAGTGCTTAATGCAGCCAAAGTGCCCTTCGCCAGTGCTCATGCACTCCCTTTATTATTAATTTTTTTATTTTTTATTTATTTACAGACAGGGCGTCACTCTGTTACCCTGGCTAAAGTGCAGTGGCACGCTCATGACTCACTGAAGCCTCGACCTCCTTGGCTCATGTGATCAATGCTCCTCCCTCAGCCTCCCAAGTAGCTGGCACCACAGGCTTGTGCCACCACTCCTGGCTAATTTTTCTAAAAATAATATTTGTAGAGATGAGGTCTCCCTAAATTGCTCTGGCTGGTCTTGAACTCCTGGGCTCAAGCAATCCTCCCGCCTCAGCCTCCCAAAATGCTGGTATTACAGGCATGAGCTATAATGGCCGGCCCATGCACTTGCCTATTATTATGAATTATTCACATCTAAGCTATGTGTATATTTTATTGAGACATTTGGTATTCTTTTTTAACCTTTTTTTTTTTTTTTGAGACGGAGTCTCGCTCTGTCGCCCAGGCTGGAGTGCAGTGGTGCAATCTCGCTCACTGCAAGCACCGCCTCCCGGGTTCACGCCGTTCTCCTGCCTCAGCCTCCCAAGTAGCTGGAACTACAGGCGACCGCCACCACGCCCGGCTAATTTTTTTGTAATTTTTTATTAGAGACGGGGTTTCACCATGTTAGCTAGGATGGTCTCGATCTCCTGACCTTGTGATCCACGCGCCTCGGCCTCCCAAAGTGCTGGGATTACAGGCGTGAGCCACCGCGCCCGGCCTTTTTTAACCTTTTTATCTTAGAGAGGCAATTAGCTTTTAGACAGCCCCACAGAATGCATTAAAGACC
This sequence comes from Homo sapiens, assembly GCF_000001405.40. Classification (NCBI taxonomy): domain Eukaryota; kingdom Metazoa; phylum Chordata; class Mammalia; order Primates; family Hominidae; genus Homo; species Homo sapiens. The sequence continues at coordinate 1,061,587 of NT_167247.2, read as the reverse complement.
AAGGTGCAAGTAACACTGTGCCAGGCTTTGCGGATAAATGCATTAAAAATCTATAAAACACTGTATTTAAGTCTGAGAATTCCATTGCTTTAGAATTCTTTCTCTCTGTTCCTTTACCTCACCTCCTGCTTCTCCAGCCCTTCTCTCTGTCCCTGTCATCCTTCAGGCCCTCCTCTCCCCTTAGTCTCTACTACTCTGTCACTACTGAATTGTGTCCCTAGCTCTGTCCCTTGCCTGCTGCCCATGACTGTTCTCCCCACAAAGGTCAGCAATCCTGCTAATGTGAGTCAGATTGTGTCATTTCTTCACTTAAAAGCCTCTAATGGCTCCATCTTACTCTCAAGAAGCCTCTAGAATGGAAGGCACAAGCACAGGGGCTTTGGGTTGTTTTGATCAAAGTTGTATCTACAGAATATAAAAGTATATCTGCCACATAGTAGGCACTAAGTTAATTTTTGTTGAATGAATGAATGAAATATAATTGTGTTCAAAATTGTATCACACAAAAATCATGAAATGGAAAATGCAAAGCAAGTTAGGAAATATTTGGTTTTATGCAACTACTATGCATATCAGTTCATGAATTCATTCCGGTGGAGAAAATGTCATATACTTATCCTTTGAATCTGTTTATTTATTTCCTGGCAGTACATAACCAATTACCACAAACTTAGTGGCTGAAAACAGCACCCATTTATTTGTCTACATTTCCTTCATCAGAAATCCAGGCCTAATGTGATAGACTCTTTGTTCAGAGTTTCGCAAAGCTGTATCCTCATCTTAAGATTGGGGTTCTCCCCCAAGCTTATGTAGAGTTTGTTGGCAGAATTCGGTTTCTGGCAATTGTAGGATTAAGGTCCCTGTTTCCTTCAGGCTATCAGAGTAGACAGTGGGGAGGGCTTCTAATTCCTATTGGCCACCAGTGTTCTTTCCCCATGATCCCTCCATTTTCAAAGCCCAAAGTGGAGGAAGCCCCTCACGCTGAATCCCTCTCACACTGTGAGTCTCTATTCTCAGGAAGAACCCAGTCCTTTTCAGAGCTTACCTGATTAGGACCGTCTAAGCAGGATAATCCTCATCTTAAAGTCAACTGACTGGGGACTTTAAATATATCTGCAAAACCTCTTCACAGCAGCACCTGCTTTAGTGTCAACTGAGTAACTGGGGTAACCTGAGAAACCAAGGGTGGTTATTGGGGTGTCATCATAGAATCAGCCTAGCTAGCCTGGATCTTCCTTTCATGTTTAAATAGAACATACAAGTTGAAGATCAAAAAATAGATCATTGTTAATGATAATAAAATATATCTTATATAGCCATGGAAATTTTTATTAAATATTAAAAGCAAATGACATGTTTAATATCTTATAATGAATTTAGAGCAAATGAAAAAGTTCAGTGATTCATCCTCTCTTGTGAAGCTGTATTAGTTATCTACTGCTGCATAACAAGTCACCTACAACTTAGCAGCTCAAATCAACAAATATTTATCATCTCCCACAGTTATCCATGGTCAGGAATCCAGGAGAAGTTTCTCTGAATGCTTCTGGCTCAGGGCCTCTCACAACGTTGCAGTCTAGTTGTCTTCCAGGGCTGAATCATCTGAGGGCTCAAATGGGGCTGGGGATTCACAAGACACAAGAATCTCTCACATGGCTTTTGGAAGAGGCTTTAGCTTCTTATTGTCTGGTCCCAGGAGGACTCACTTCCTAGTCACATGGACCACAGGCCTCCTTATGACACAACAGCCAGCTTCCCCCAGGGCTCATGATTCCAGAGAAAGAAAGAACCAAAGTAGAAACTTCAGTGAGTCTTATGTTCTACACCCAGAATCACAAACTATTATGTCAGCATTACTCTATCAGTTAGAAGTGAGTCATTAAGTCCAGGCCACACGAACAGGGAGGGAATGAAGCTGCACTTCTGGAAAGGAGGAGTATCAAAGAATTTATAAACATGTTAAAAGCAAAATTAACATTATTGTTTCAGGGTTTTGTAAATCAAATACTTCTTGTATCTGACTTTTTTTAATACTTTAAAATTCTCTTCTGTAAAGTTGATTAAATATTTGAGACAGAGAAAGAAGATACAACAATATCTCAGATTTTTTTTGTAAATGCCTTTAATATTAATATTCTCTTTGATAAGTTGCAACAGAGTTGAGAAAATACAGTAGCTAAATTAAAGTGTCCCAAGACTTTGGTGCCATACAATAATGCCTTTACAATCATAACTACGTTTGTTTCTCTTCAGAAGTTTCTAATTCGGTTTAAGAATGCCCAAAATGCCAATTTTCTTACTCAAGCATCTACAAAAATATTTGCCTAATCAGGGTGCTTTGCAGTTAGAAAAATGTGAATCTCACACCTCTGTCTATACACTAGCTTAGCATCATGACAATAATTTGTTTGGCTAGGGTAGGCAGAAATTGTTTACTCCAATCTAGGAACAAGATTTTTCAATAACTGGCTATTCAGTGGGCATCCTATGAAAGTTTAACATCTTTCACTGTGTTTTTTAATTAGATGTGGTAGAAGTGATTTGGACTCCCGTATGATTCTGAAAAACACTGTTCTTTTGTGCTGCTATCATTGCTGTACAAGCATCTCTTTCATGTTTTCCATTCTTATTGCTATTTCATCACTAGTTATTCCTTTATGTCTTTTCATTTAATTTATTTTGCTCAACAATGCTTTTTTTTTTTACTGTGTAAAAGTTTAATCCACTTGTATGTGTGGTAAAATGTGAGCAACATATCAAATTCTCAAATTCTTTGCAAGATACAATTGCCTTGCACATCAGATTGAACACTGTATGCCAGACAATGTAGAGAGTTGCCAATTAGCCCAGGGTCAAATGACCTCTTTCTAGCCAAGGCTATTTTTCATGAGATCCTGGTCCTCTCTGTCACATGACTCTTTACAATTGGCTGTGGCTTTGTTTTAACGTGTGTAGTTATTGCTAAGGATCCTTGAGATGAACTTTGGTATTTTCTTTTCTCTTTCATTTCCAAATAATCAGTCAGGAATGGCACACAAGGTGCATTTTGAAAAATGACACTTTAAAGATTTGTGGGCCGGGAATGGTGGCTCATGTCTGTAATCCCAGCACTTTGGAAGGCCGAAGTTGGCGGATCACCTGAGGTCAGGAGTTTGAGACCAACCTGGACAATATGGTGAAACCCCGTCTCTACTAAAAATACAAAAATTACCTGGGTGTCGTGGTGGATGCCTATAATTCCAGCTACTCAGGAGGCTGAGGTAGGAGAATTGCTTGAACCTGGGAGGCGGAGGTTGCAGTGAACTGAGATCACGCCACTGCACTCCAGCCTGGGCGACAGAGCGAGACTCCGTCTCAAAAAAAAAAAAAAAAAAAAAAAGAAAGAAAGAAAGAAAGAAAGAAAGAAAGAAAGAAAGATTTATGATCAAGTAACTTAACTACCTGGACATCCCCTCCTGGCATAAAAAACAAAACCTATGAAGCCACCCTCGGCTGTTGTCCAATTCTATTCCCCAAAAGGAACTTCTATCTTGAGTCTTGTATTTACTATTCCTTTTCATTGTCTCTAAAGATTTTTACAATAAGTATATATATATATATCCAAATCACAGTTTGACCTGCTTTTTTTAACTTCCCCGTACAGAGAACTCACACAATGTGCATTCTTCTGTGATGCTGATGCATGTTATGTGTAGGAGAGTTATCTCTGATGTGGGAGGGTGCTGTTCATTCACTGTTGCTGCTGAAGTTTTACTTTTTATTATTATACGACTATTTTGTTAATTCCCATTGATGTATATGTGATTGTTTCCAGTTTTTGCCATAAACATTGGTGTACATGTCTCCTGGACACATAGCCAAGAATGTCCCCAGGGGGTATGATCAGGAGGCAGATGGTGGGATTATATGATGTATGGACATTAATCATACTAGATAAGGCTAATTTGATTTCTCAAGTGCTTGTACCAAGAATGGGAAAGAGCTTGTGTTGCTCATGTGTTCTGAAAACATTCAGTTGGAGGCAGAAATTAAATGTTAAAAGGTACTGTCTTGGCTATAGAATCACCCTAGGCATTTTTTCATATTCCATTAACAACTTCCTTTTCTTTACTTTTATATTATAAATTACGGCATTATACTTTTAGCATAAAGTTCAAATAATGCTTCCTTTTGGCCTAAACACTTGGAGTTTATGAAAAAAATGGAGGGAGGGAGAAAGCTCTGAGGGAGGAAAGGAGGAAAGAAGGAAGGAAGGACAGAGAAAGACAAAATTTAAAATGTTCAAAAATAGGAGGAAAGAGTTGGAAACAGCAAGTATAGCTAAGTTATTAAAATGCAAGGGATTAAAAGATATGTAGATAATATCCATGGAATAATGGAAACTTAAGAAAGCCTTAATAGTTATCAAGTACTGTGTCACAAACTACCTCAAAATTTAGTAGCTTAATAGAACAAATATCTGTTAACTCAAAGAGATACTACACACACAAGTAAAATAGATTCTGTGGGGGTGGCAGAAGTTGGATAAAGAGAAGGATTTTACAGGTTGGAATAAGAGTTATTGATATGCAGATGGAAATAATTTTTAGTCCAAGTCCTTCAAGGAGCAGATGCCAAGATGAGCTTAAAGTCTGCGACATCTTATAAGGGGACACACCCGTAAGGGAATATGGGAAGTGAGCCAGAAATCCCTGAGAAAAGGCGGCAGACCACGATGCAAGTGTGACCCCAAGTGCTGGACAGAAGGAGAGAAAGTTTGTTTGACGCATCCTAGAGCACAGGCAATCTAAGGAGAGTTGAGCAAGGCCGTGGAGGAGTCTTCCAGCTACAGTTAGCCATCAGAGGAGTCCCGTGTCTCCCAGGAATGGCTTGCCTTAATGCCTGCTGTGACCAGTCACTGGCTGGGAACAGCCCATGGGAAGCAGGGCTTTGCACCAATCCTGCTGAGGATGTCAGAGCACAGGAGCACAGCCTTGGGACATTACCTGTGAGTATCACTCAATCCTTCCTTCCTGAGGGTTCTGGGCTCTTGAATATGAAACCCTCTCAGGCTGGGTTGCTGGATGATTCTGCTCACACTTACAACAGGACAAGGGGAACCATAAGGTCTCCAAGTGGATCTCTTATTTCCACACACACATCTCCTGCCCTCCTTGTGTGATAGCAGCCCTGCCTCCTCCTCTTCTCACCTGCTTGTATCTGGACACATACTATTCAAACATCCCTGGGGGCAGCCATAATGTGTATTTCCATGGACTCTCATTTAAATGTCTCCTTGCCAGGGTGCCCCCTTTGGGAAACCAGGACCTCCTCCCCTACAGAGCCCAGATATTGGAGATGAGAAGTGCAAAATCACCCTGAAGGTGAATATAAGGGTTTAGATATGGAGCCACACCTGCTTCTACTTCTTGGTTTTTGGACCCACGTATTCTTCCTTCTGTAAACACAGCACTATAGAGACATCTTTGATTCAATACATGCACCACATCCTGAAAGATGGCACCCATTCCTCAGAGGGTTTCATCCAAGCTGGCACTAAGTTGTGTCTGTAGAGACCTGTCCATGACTCTGTGTGGCTGGCAGCCCCTGGGAGGTGCAGGTGGTGATAAGACCAGGGGGTGCCATGGTCATGGACCACGCTTCATCCCCTTTCCTCTGAGGTGTGTCCCGCGGGCAGATAATGTACTGAAATTCTGAGCCAGTGGCTCAGGAATGCCAATAGTGATACTGGCTGAGGGTCTAAGAGTAGAGAGGAAAACCACACCACATCTAATAGGTGCCTATCCCTGTGAGGATGAACCTCCGCCCCCCGGGCCGCCTCCCACTTGAGCTGGGTGATCTGAGCCGCCGTGTCTGCGGCTGTCAAGGAGCACAGGTCCTCGTTCAGGACGATGTAATCCTTGCCATCGTAAGCAAGCTGGTGATACCCGCGGAGTAGGCGCCCGTCCGACCCCACGTCGCAGACAGACATCCTCTAGATGGGTGTGAGACCCTGGCCCCGCCCCCGCGGCCAGCCCCGCCCACCGAGCCCCGCCCTCGCCAGGACCAACCTGCGGGGATTTTGGCTGAAAATGAAACCGGGTAACGGCTCCTGGGCCTCTCCCGGGTCAAGGGTCTCCAGGTCCCGCTGCCTCGGCGTGGATCTCGGACCCAGAGACTCGGGGAGACCCGGGCGGTCCGTGGGGGATGTGGAGGGGTAGTGACCTGCGCCCCCGGCCGGTGTCACTCACAGGCCTCACTCTGGTTGTAGTAGCCGCTCAGGGTCCGCAGGTTCACTCGGTAAAACTGTGCTTTGGCCTTGGCGGTCCCTGTCTCCTCTTCCCAATATTCCGGCCCCTCCTGCTCCATCCACGGCGCCCGCGGCTCCATCCTGGGACTCGTGGCGTCGCTGTCGAGCCGCACGCACTGCGTGTCGTCCACGTCGCCCACGGAGAGGAAGCGGGGATCCGCGCGGCCGGGCCGGGACATGGTGGTGTGGAAATACCTCAAGGAGTGGAAGCCTGGGAGCAAGGAGGGGGCTGAGACCCTCCCGACCCTCCTCCCGGCACCGCAACCGGGTTCCTGCGCCCCCGCCGGGCAGGCCCCTAGCTACTCCCCACAGACGCCGTTTCCCTCCCGACCCCGCACTCACCTGCCCAGGTCTGGGTCAGGACCAGGGCCCCCGAGAGCAGCAGAAGCAGGGTTCGGGGCGCCATGACACCATCCTCGGCGACTGGGAAGAATCGGAGTCCCGGTGGGTGCGTGGGAACTTTAGAACCGGGACCGCGGCTACATTGATTGGCTTCTCTAGAAACCCGACACTCAATGGGAGTGAGAACTGGGGCAGCCCGGTGAGTACCCAGGAAGAAGGACCCGACACAGGTTGGGAGAGGGAGAAGAGAAACCCTGCAAAGATGGGGAATGCCCAGCGCTGGGCCTCCCCAATCCATACACCGCCTTTGGGGCCTGAGATCCTGAGAGCCACGCCTGAGGCCCTGGGACTTCGCCCTGACCCCGCTACTTCTGTGCCAAGCGCTCTGTCTCAATGTTTCCCTGAGTCTTGGCCCAGGAGCTGTCTGAGAAACCAGGGAGAAACCCTCGGAATGGGCCCCGTCCCTCTCTCTTCACTTTGCATCACGGAATCCCCGTCCCAGAACTGGACTCCCTGCCTCCTACTCCTTACCTGTCCCCGTGGACTCTTCTAGAAGAAAAATCACCCCAGGGAGCTTGTTGCCAGAGAGTGAGCTTGCCCTGGGAATGGAGGTGTAGAGACAGGGTTTTTTGTTGTTGTTGTTTGTTTGTTTTTTAAATCTGGAAAAGTTGTGCCTGAGTGCATGAGATAGAATAGAGACCAGTTTGCTTTTTGTTTATTAACTACAGTGGGTAGCAGAATCTTGGTAACTCCTAATGATCAGGAATCTAATCGGCCAAAAATGTGACTTTGGTCCCTTGACATATAAATGTGTCTAAAAGCATTACAACAGGAATCACAAAGCTCCTAAGTTTCACTTTCCCAGACAATGTATCTGTGACTCCCGCTTGTAGTATTTTAAATTTACCTTCATTCCATAGCCCTGAGTTTCTGTGTGAGTCCAGGACATCTCCTAATACAAGGTAGCCACTGTGTTACTATATGTTGTAACCAGGAGCCAGTACGGACTTTATTCATCTCACAGTGGCAAGCACTCAATGCAGTCACAATGCCCCTCACCAGTGCTCATGCACTGCCTGTTTTTAGGAAGTATCCACTTCTAAGTGTTGTGTATATTTTATATGAACACTTAGTATTTTTTAAACCTGATTAACATAAAAAAATTAGTTTTTAGGCAGACCCACATAAGGTATTAAAGGCCAACTGCAAAGATCACCCTGCAAGGCTCTGTAGATTGATGTATTAAAATATATAAAACAATGTGTTTAAACCTGAGTTCTGCTGCTTTCGAATTCTTTCCCTCTGCTCCATTTCCTCACCTCCTGCATCTCCAGCCCTTCCCTCCATTCCTCTCATCCCTCAGGCCCTCCTCTCCCCTTAGTCCCCACCACCTTGTCACTCCTTATTTGTGACACTAGCACTGTCCCATTACCTGCTACGTGACTGTTCTCTGCACAGTGGTCCTGCTCCTGTGAGTCAGAGTGTGTCATTTCTCCACCTAAAACATTCCACTGGCTCCACCTTGGTCTTGTGAAGCTTCTGGAATGTCAGGCACGTAAGCATATGAGGGCACACCTGGTTCATTGTAGGGATTAAATTAATTTTTCTTGACTGAATGAATGAAATATGAGTCTATTAAATTGCATCACAGAAAATTATAAAATGTAAAATACTGAAAAAGTTAAGAAATATTTTATTTTATGTAATTAGTGTGCATATCAATTCATCAATTCATTCGTGCACTACCACGACTGGCAAAACAACACCCATTTATCTGCTTATACTTCCTTGGTCAGAAATCTGGGCAAGATGTGGATAGAATCCCTGTTCTGGGCTTCCAAAAGCTGTGTTTTCATTTTGAATCCTCCTTCAGGCTTATACAGAGGTGGCAGAATGCAGTTTCTGGCAGTTGTAAGACTGAGGTTTCTGTTCCTTGCTGGCTGTCAATACAGAGAATAGGCAGGGCTGTGCTCAATTCCTGGTGCCTAACAGTGTTCTTTCCTACACAGCCTCTTCATTTTCAAAGCCCACGGTAGAGGAAACCCCTCATGCTGAATCCCTCTCACACTGCAAATCTCTATGCTCAGAAAGAACACAGACCTTTCAAGGACTCACCTTATTAGGACAGTCAAAGCAGGATAAACCCAGCCTAAAGTCAACTAATTGAGGCCCTTAGTTATATCTGCTAAATCCCTTCACAGCAGCATCTACACTAGAGTTGCTTGAATAACTGGGGGAAAGTGAATGACCGGGAGGTGGCTGTTGGGGGCCATCAAAGAATCAGCCCAGCAAGGGTTGGATCTTCCTTTTGTGTTTAATTTGGACACAGTTGGAAATTGAAGTTCAAGTAAAGTGATCATTGTGAATAGTAATAAAATGCATCCTCTTCAGCCATGGACATTCTCCTTACCTTTTAAAACTAAGTTACATGTGTAATGTCTTATAATTAATTTAGGCCAGGTGTGGTGGCTCACACCTGTGATTCTAGCACCGTGGAAGGCAGAGGAAGGCAGATTTGTTGACTCCAGATGTTGAAGATCAGCCTGGGCAACATGGAGAAACCCCCATCTCTACAAAAAAATTTAGAAAATTAGCCAGGCGTGGTGCTTCATGCCTGTAGTCCCAGTTACTCAGGACGCTGAGATAAGAGGGTCCCTTGAGCCCAGGAAGTCGACACTGCAGTGCATGGTGATCATGCCACTGCACTCCAGCCTGGGCGACAGAGCGAGACCCTGTCTCAATAACAATAATATTAATAATAATGATAAATTTAGAGCAAATGCAAATTAATGTGTAATACTACATCCTCTTTTGTGAAAATGTGTTAGTTATTTACTATTGCATAACAAATTATGTAAAACTTAGCAGCTCAAAATGGCAAATATTCATCATCTCCCGCAGGTTCCAATGGTCAGGAATCCAGGAGAGGTTTCCCTGAGTGCTTCTTGCTCAGGGCCTCTCACAAGGTTGCAGTCCAGTTGTCAGCCTAGGCCTGCATCATCTGAGTGCTTCACTGGGACTGAGGATTCACATGAAACATGGATGGGTCACATGGCTGTTGGAAAAGCCCTAGTTCCTTGTTTTCTGTTCCCAGAAGGCCCCAGTTCTCAGCCACATGGACCTTCCTTCAGGGCTGCTTATGGCACAGCAGGTGGCTTCCCCCAGAGCTCATGATTCCAGAGACATTGAGAGAGAAGGGGGAGGCTGCAGTGAGTTTTATGTTCTACACCCAGAGTCACAAACTCTTATGTCAGCATTACCAGTTAGAAGTTGTATTAGTCCGTTCTCACATTGCTATAAAGAAATACCTGAGACTGGGTAATTTATAAAGGAAAGAGGTTTAATTGACTCATAGTTCTGCATTGCTGAGAAGGCTGCCCCATGAAACTTACAATCATGGCAGAAGTGGAGGCAAACACGTCCTTCTTCACATGGTGGCAGGAGAGAGAATTGCAGATCGAAGTGGGGAAAAATACCTCATAAAACCATCAGATCTCATGAGAATTCCCTCAGCATCATAAGAGCAGCATGGGGGTACCATACCCGTGATCCAATCACCTCCCAGGAGGTCCCTCCCCCGATACATAGGGATTACAATTTGCATGACAATTCAAGATGAGAATTTGGTGGGAACTCAGAGCCAGACCATATCAGAAATGCATCATTAAGTCCCAGCCACACTCAAGAGAGGAAATTAAGCAGCATCTCTGGAAGGGAACAGTATTAAAGGATTTGAATATATATTAAAAGCAAATTTAAAACTCTTGTTTCAGGATTTTGAAAATCAAAATTTTTTTATCTAATTATTTTTCGTTAACCCTTTTAGCTTGTCTTTTAATTTAATTTAATTTTAAGTTCCAGGTTATGTGTGCAGGATGCGCAGGTTTGTTACATAGGTAAATGTGTGCCATGGTGGTTTGCTGCACCTATCAAACCATCACCTATGTATTAACCCTGGCATGCATTAGCTATTTTTTCCTAATACTCCTCCCACCACTGCCCTCCCCCAGCAGGCACCAGTGTGTGATGTTCCTCTCCTTGTGTCCATGTGTTCTCATTGCTCATCTCCCAATTATAAGTGAGAACATGTGGCGTTTGGCTTTCTGTTCCTGTGTTAGTTTGCTGAGGATGGCTTCCAGCTTCATCCATATCCCTGCAAAAGACTGAATCTCATTCCTTTTTGTGGCTGCATAATATTCCATGGTGTATATGTACCATATTTTCTTAATGCAGTACATCATTGATGGGCATTTGGGCTGATTCCATGTCTTTGCTATTGTGGATAGTGCTGCAATAAGCATACACATGCATGTATCTTTATAGTAGAGTGATTTATTTTCCTTTGGATGTATACCCTGTAATGGGATTGCTGGGTCAAATGGTATTTCTGGTTCTAAATCTTTGAGGAATCACCAAACTGTCTTCCACAATGGTTCAACCAATTTACATTTCCAGCAACAGTGTAAAAGCCTTCCTATTTCTCCACAACCTCGCCAGCATCTGGTGTTTATGTAGTTTTAAATAATTGCCATTCTGACTGGCATTAGATGGTATCTCATTTGTGGTTTTGATTTGCATTTCTGTAATCAGTGATGTTGAGCTTTTTTTCATGTTTTTTTGGCCACATGTACGTCTTATTTTGTGAAATGTCTCTTCATGTCCTTTGTTCACTTTTTAATGAAGTTTTTTTCATGTAAATTTGCTTAAGTTCTTTATAGATTCTGAATATTAGACCTTTGTAAGATAGATAGATTGCAAAAATTTTCTCCCATTCTGTAGGGTGTCTGTTCACTCTGATAGTTTCTTTTTCTGTGCAGATGCTCTTTTGTTTAATTAGATCCCATATGCCAATTTTTGCTTTTGTGGCAGATGCTTTTGGCGATTTCATCATAAAATCTTTGCCCATGCCTGTGTCCTGAATGGTATTGCCTAGATTTTCTTTCAGGGTTTTTATAATTTTGTGTTTTACATTTAAGTCTTTAATCTATCTTGAGTTAATTTTTGTGTAAGGTGTAAGGAAGGGGTCTAGTTTCAATTTTCTGCATATGGCTAGCCAGTTCTCCCATCACCATTTATTAAATAGGGAATCCTTTCCCCGTTGCTTGTTTTTGTCAGGTTTGTTGAAGATCAAATGGTTGTAGATGTGCGGACTTTTTTTGTGAATTCTCTATTCTGTTCCATTGGTCTATGTGCCTGTTTTTGTACCAGTATCATGCTGTTTTGTTTACTGTAGCCTCACAGTATACTTTTAAGTGGGGTAGTGTGCTGCCTCCAGCTTTGTTCTTTTTGCTTAGTATTCTCTTTGCTATATGAGCTCTTATTGGATCCATATGAATTTTAAAATAGTTTTTTTTTCTAATTCCACGATAAGCTTATCTTTTAAAATTAATGATTAACTGTTTCAGACATCACAGAGCCTTGGGTGCTTAGGAGAAAACAGTTTGAAACAGAGAAAGGATATGCAACAGTAACTCTGAATTTTTCTTGTGAATACCTTTAATAACAATGTTGTTTTCAATTAGTTAACACAGTTGAGAACATAGAGTAACTAGATCAAATAGTTCCAAGACTTCAGTCTGATAAAAATAATGTCTTGAAAATAAGACTTTGTTTTGTCTAAGATATCTCAAATTTAGTGGAAGCACGTCCCAAGCACCAATTTTCTTATTGAAATATCATCTTCACTAAACATTTGCCTACACTTAAAAAAAAAAACAAAAACTCCGCTATATGGAGTAGCCATTCTTTTGTTTCTTTACTTCTCTAATAACTTGCTTTCACTTAGGAAAACATTGCCTAATCAAATTGCTTTTCATTTACAAAAGTGTGAATCTCATACTTCAGTCAACACATCTAGCTTAGCATGATGCCAATAACTTTGGTTTGATGCAGTAGCCTGAAATGGTTAGCTCAAATTGAGAAACAAGTTTTTTTCAAAAGCTAGCTATTTGGTGGGCATTACATAATAAACTTAACATCTTTTGCTCTGGTATTGAATGAGATGTGATAGAAGTCATTTGCACACCACTATGATTCTAAATAACACGGCTATTATGTGCTTCTGAAGCTTTTTTTCTTTTTAGCAGTCCTATTCTGTTTTCCATTCATATTTGATATTCCATCACTGGTTATTCCTTCCTATTCTTTTCTTGTTTGATTTATTTTGATCAATTATTTGCATTTCCAATTCCGTAAAAGTTTAATTCAGTTGTATGTGTGGTAGAATGTAACATCAAATCCTTTGCAAGATGGAATTACCTTGCACAGCAGATTGAACATTGTATAACTGAAAATCTAGAGAGATGCCAGTCAGCCAAGGGTTAAATGACCTATTTTTAGCCAAGTCCATTTTCATGGCATCCTGGTCCTCTCTGTCACATGACTCCTTACAATTCTCTGTGGTTTGCTTCCAATGTAAGTAGTTCTTATTAAGGATCCTTGCAATTAACTTTGGTATTCTTTTCTCTTACATTTTTTTAAAATTATACTTTAAGTTCTATGGTACATGTGCATAACGTGCAGGTTTGTCACATATGTATGCATGTGCCCTGTTGGTTTGCTGCCCTCTTTAACTAGTCATTTACATTAGGTATTTCTCCTAATGCTATCCTTCCCCCATCCCGCCACCTGACGACAGGCCCCAGTGTGTGATGTTCCCCACCCTGTGTCCAAGTGTTCTCATTGTTCAATTCACCTATGAGTGAGAACATGCGCTGTTTGATTTTCTGTCTTCGCGATAGTTTGCTCAGAATGATGGTTTCCTGCTTCATCCATGTCACTACAAAGGACATGAACTCATCCTTTTTATGGCTGCATAGTATTCCATGGTGTATATGTGCCACATTTTCTTAATCTAGTCTATCATTGATGGACATTTGGGTTGGTTCCAATTCTTTGCTATTGTGAATAGTGCCACAATAAACATACATGTGCATGTGTCTTTATAGTAGCGTGATTTATAATCCGTTGGGCATATACCCAGTAATGGGATGGCTGGGTCAAATGGTATTTCTAGTTCTAGATCCTTCAGGAATTGCCACACTGTCTTCCACAATGGTTGAACTAGTTTACAGTCCCACCAACAGTGTAAAAGTGTTCCTGTTTCTCCACATCCTCTCCAGCACCTGTTGTTTCCTGACTTTTTAATGATCGCCATTCTAACTGGTGTGAGATGGTATCTCATTGTGGTTTTGATTTGCATTTCTCTGATGGCCAGTGATGATGAGCATTTTTTCATGTGTCTGTTGGCTGCATAAATGTCTTCTTTTGAGAAGTGCCTGTTCATATCCTTTGCCCACTTTTTATGGGGTTGTTTGATGGGTAGACTGCAAAAATTTTCTCCCATTCTGTAGGTTGCCTGTTCACTCTGATGGTAGTTTCTTTTGCTGTGCAGAAGCTTTTTAGTTTAATTAGATCCCATTTGTCTAATTTGGCTTTTGTTGCCATTGCTTTTGGTGTTTTAGTCACGAAATCCTTGCCCATGCTGATTTCCTAAGTGGTATTGCCTAGGTTTTCTTTTGGGTTTTATGGTTTTAGGTCTAACATTGAAGTCTTTAATCCATCTGGAATTAATTTCTGTATAAGTTGTAAGGAAGGGATCCAGTTTCAGCTTTCTACATGTGGCTAGCCAGTTTTCCCAGCACCATTTATTAAGTTTCCCAGCACCTTTCCCTATTGCTTGTTTCTGTCAGGTTTGTCAAAGATCAGATGATTGTAGATGTGTGGTGTTACTTCTGAGGCCTCTGTTCTGTTCCATTGGTCTGTATCTCTGTTTTGGTACCAGTACCATACTGTTTTGGTTACTGCAGCCTTGTAGTATAGTTTGAAGTCAGGTAGCGTCATGCCTCCAGCTTTGTTCTTTTGGCTTAGGATTCTCTTGGCAATGTGGTCTCTTTTTTGGTTCCATATGAACTTTAAAGTAGTTTTTTCCAATTCTGTGAAGAAAGTCATTGGTAGCTTGATGGGGATGGCATTGAATCTATAAATTACCTTGGGCAGTGTGGCCATTTTCATGATATGGATTCTTCCTATCCATGAACGTGGAATGTTCTTCCATTTGTTTATATCCTCTTTTATTTCATTGAGCAGGTTTGTAGTTCTCCTTGAAGAGGTCCTTCACATCCCTTGTAAGTTGGATTCCTAGGTATTTTATTCTCTTTGTAGCAATTTTGAATGGGAGTTCACTCATGATTTGGCTGTCTGTCTGTTATTGGTGTGTAAGAATGCTTGTGATTTTTGCACATTGATTTTGTATCCTGAGACTTTGCTGAAGTTGCTTATCAGCTTAAGGAGATTTTGGGCTGAGATGATGGGGTTTTCTAGACATACAGTCGTGTCATCTGCAAACAGGGACAATTTTACTTCCTCTTTTCCTAATTGAATACCCTTTATTTCCTTCTCCTGCCTAATTGCCCTGGCCAGAACTTCCAACACTATGTTGAATAGGAGTGATGAGAGAGGGCATCCCTGTCTTGTGCCAGTTTTCAAAGGGAATGCTTCCAGTTTTTGCCCATTCAGTATGATATTGGCTGTGGGTTTGTCATAGATAGCTCTTATTATTTTGAGATACGTCCCATCAATACTTAATTTATTGAGAGTTTTTAGCATGAAGGTTGTTGAATTTTGTCAAAGGCCTTTTTTGCATCTATTGAGATAATCATGTGGTTTTTGTCGTTGGTTCTCTTTAAATGCTGGATTATGTTTATTGATTTTCGTATGTTGAACCAGCCTTGCATCCCAGGGATGAAGCCCACTTGATCATGGTGGATAAGCTTTTTGATGTGCTGCTGGATTCGGTTTGCCAGTATTTTATTGAGGATTTTTGCATCTATGTTCATCAGGGATATTGGTCGAAAATTCTCTTTTTTTGTTGTGTCTCTGCCCGGCTTTGCTATCAGGATGATGCTGGCCTCATAAAATGAGTTAGGGAGGATTCTCTCTTTTTCTATTGATTGGAATAGTTTCAGAAGGAATGGTACCAGCTCCTCCTTGTACCTCTGGTAGAATTCGGCTGTGAATCCATCTGGTCCTGGACTATTTTTGGTTGGTAAGCTATTAATTATTGCCTCAATTTCAGAGCCTGTTATTGGTATATTCAGAGATTCAACTTCTTCCTGGTTTAGTCTTGGGAGGGTGTATGCGTCGAGGAATTTATCCATTTCTTCTAGATTTTCTAGTTTATTTGCATAGAGGTGTTTATAGTATTCTCTGATGGTAGTTTGTATTTCTGTGGGATTGGTGGTGATATCCCCTTTATCATTTTTATTGCATCTATTTGATTCTTCTCTCTTTATTAGTCTTGCTAGCGGTCTATCAATTTTGTTGGTCTTTTCAAAAAATCAGCTCCTGGATTCATTGATTTTTTGAAGGGTTTTTTGTGTCTCTATCTCCTTCAGTTCTGCCCTGATCTTGGTTATTTCTTGCCTTCTGCTAGCTTTTGAATGTGATTGCTCTTGCTTCTCTAGTTCTTTTAATTGTGATGTTAGGGTGTCGATTTTAGATCTTTCCTACTTTCTGTTGTGGGCATTTAGTGCTATAAATTTCCCTTTACACACTGCTTTGAATGCATCCCAGAGATTCTGGTATGTTGTGTCTTTGTTCTCGTTGGTTTCAAAGAACCTCTTTATTTCTGCCTTCCTTTCATTATGTACCCAGTAGTCATTCAGGAGCAGGTTGTTCAGTTTCCATGTGGTTGAGCAGTTTTGAGTGAGTTTCTTAATCCTGAGTTCTAGTTTGATTGCACTGTGGTCTGAGAGACAGTTTGTTATAATTTCTGTTCTTTTACATTTGCTGAGGAGTGCTTTACTTCCAACTATGTGGTCAGTTTTGGAATAAGTGCGGTGTGGTGCTGAGAAGAATGTATATTCTGTTGATTTGGGGTGGAGAGTTCTGTAGATGTCTATTAGGTCTGCTTGGTGCAGAGCTGAGTTCAATTCCTGGATATCTTTGTTAACTTTCTGTCTCATTGATCTGTCCGATGTTGACAGTGGGGTGTTAAAGTTTCCCATTACTATTGTGTGGGAGTCTAAGTCTCTTTATATGTCTCTACGGACTTGCTTTATGAATCTGGGTGCTCCTGTATTGGGTGCATATATATTTAGGATAGTTAGCTCTTCTCATTGAATTGATCCCTTTACCATTATGTATTGGCCTTCTTTGTCTCTTTTGATCTTTGTTGGTTTAAAGTCTGTTTTATCAGAGAGTAGGATTGCAACCCCTGCCTTTTTTTGTTTTCCATTTGCTTGGTAGATCTTCCTCCATCCCTTTATTTTGAGCCTATGTGTGTCTCTGCACGTGAGATGGGTTTCCTGAATACAGCACACTGATGGGTCTTGACTCTTTATCCAATTTGCCAGTCTGTGTCTTTTAATTGGAGCATTTAGCCCATTTACATTTAAGGTTAATATTGTTATGTGTGAATTTGATCCTGTCATTATGATGTTAGCTGGTTATTTTGCTCATTAGTTGATGCAGTTTCTTCCTAGCCTCAATGGTCTTTACTATTTGGCATGTTTTTGCAGTGGCTGGTACCAGTTGTTCCTTTCCATGTTTAGTGCTTCCTTCAGGATCTCTTGTAAGGAAGGCCTGGTGGTGACAAAATCTCTCAGGATTTGCTTGTCTGTCAAGGATTTTATTTCTCCTTCACTTACAAAGCTTAGTTTGGCTGGATTTGAAATTCTGGGCTGAAAATTCTTTTCTTTAAGAAAGTTGAATATTGGCCCCTACTCTCTTCTGCCTTGTAGAGTTTCTGCCGAGAGATCAGCTGTTAGTCTGATGGGTTTCCCTTTGTGGGTAGCCCGACCTTTCTCTCTGTCTTTCCTTAACATTTTTTCCTTAATTTCAACTTTGGTGAATCTGACAATTATGTGTCTTGGAGTTGCTCTTCTTGAGGAGTATCTTTGTTGTGTTCTCTCTATTTCCTGAATTTGAATGTTGGCCTGCCTTGCTAGATTGGGGAAGTTCTCTTGGATAATATCCTGCAGAGTGTTTTCCAACTTGGTTCCATTCTCTCCGTCACTTTCAGGTACACCAATCAGATGCAGATTTGGTCTTTTCACATAGTCCCATATTTCTTGGAGGCTTTGTTCATTTCTTTTTATTCTTTTTTCTCTAAACTTCTCTTCTCACTTCATTTCATTCATTTGATCTTCCATCACTGATAACCTTTCTTCCAGTTGATCGAATCAGCTACTGAAGCTTGTGCATTCATCACTTAGTTCTCGTGCCGTAGTTTTCAGCTCCATCAGGTCCTTTAAGGACTTCTCTGCATTGGTTATTCTAGTTAGCCATTCATCTCATCTTTTTTCAAGGTTTTTAACTTCTTTGTCATGGGTTCGAACTTCCTCCTTTAGCTCGGAGAAGTTTGATCGTCTGAAGCCTTCTTCTCTCAACTCATCAGAGTCATTCTCCTTCCAGCTTTGTTCCATTGCTAGTGAGTAGCTGCATTCCTTTGGAGGAGGAGAGGCACTCTGATTTTTAGAATTTTCAGTTTTTCTGCTCTGTTTTTTCCCCGTCTTTGTGGATTTATCTACCTTTGGTCTTTGATGATGGTGACGTACAGATGGGGTTTTGGTGTGGATGTCCTTTCTGTTTGTTAGTTTTCCTTCTGACAGTCAGGACCCTCAGCTGCAGGTCTGTTGGAGTTTGCTGGAGGTCCACTACAGACCCTGTTTGCCTGGGTATCAGCAGTGGAGGCTGCAGAACAATGCATATTGGTGAACAGCAAATGTTGCTGCCTGATCTTTCCTCTGGAGATTTTGTCTCAGAGGAGTACTCGGCCGTGTGACGTGTCAGTCTGCCCCTACTGGGGGGTGCCTCCCAGTCAGGCTACTTGGGAGTCAGGGACCCACTTGAGGAGGCAGTCTGTCTGTTCTCAGATCTCAAGCTGCATGCGGGAGAACCACTACTGTCTTCAAAGCTGTCAGACAGGGACATTTAAGTCTGCAGAGGTTTCTGCTGCCTTTTGTTTGGCTATGCCCTGCCCCCAGAGGTGGAGTCTACAGAGGCAGGCAGGCCTCCTTGAGCTGTGTGGGCTCCACCCAGCTCGAGCTTCCTGGCCGCTTTGTTTACCTACTCAAGCCTCAGCAATGGCGGGCACCCCTCCCCCAGCCTTGCTGCCGCCTTGCAGTTTGATCTCAGACTGCTGTGCTGGCAATGAGCGAGGCTCTGTGGGTGTAGGACCCTGCGAGCCAGGCATGGGATATAATCTCTCGGTGTGCCGTTTGCTAAGACCATAGGAAAAGTGCAGTATTAGGGTGGGAGTGACCTAATTTTCCAGGTGCCATCTGTCACCCCTTTCCTTGGCTAGGAAAGGGAATTCCCTGACCCCTTGCGCTTCCTGGGTGAGGCGTGGCCTCGCCCTGCTTTGGCTCACACTTGGTGCACTGCACCCACTGTCCTGCACCCACTGTCTGACAGTCCCCAGTGAGATGAACCTGGTACCTCAGTTGGAAATGCAGAAATCATTCGTCTTCTGCATTGCTCACCCTGGGAGCTGTAGACTGGAGCTGTTCCTATTCCCCAAATTAATTTTTGTTGACTGAATAAATGAAATATGAGTGTATTAAAATTTAATTTCATCACAGAAAATTATAAAATAAACAATACTGGAAAAGATTGAGAAAGTTTTTATTTTATGTAACTAGTGTGCATATCAATTCATAAATTCATTCCATTTGTCTGTTGAGACTGTACGAATTTTATGACTGCATAACAAATTATCACAAATATTGGCTTTAAACAATACCCATTTATTTAATTAATTCATTTATTTTTAGAGAAATGGTCTCTTTCTCTCATCCATTTTGAAGTGCAGTCACACAGTCATGGCTCACTGCAGCCTTGAAATCCTGGGCTCAAAGGATCCTCCTGGCTCAGTCTTCAGAGTAACTAGAACTACAGGCAAATGCCACCACGCCCAGCTAATTAAAAAAAAATTGTAGAGATGAGGGTCTCATTGCATTACCCAGGCTGGTCTCAAATTCCTGAGTGTAAGTGATCCTCCTGTGTAAGCCCCTCAAATGTTAGGATTGCAGGTGTGTGCTACCACACCTGCCCAAACAACATCCACTGATCTGTTTACAGTTCTTTAGGCAGAAATCCAGGCATGATGTAGACGGGGTCTCTATTCAGGGCTTCCCAAAGCTGTGTTTTCATTTTGAATCCTCCTTCAAGCATATATAGAGGCGGCAGAATTCAGTTTCTGACAGTCGTTAAGACTGAGTTTCCTGTTCCCTGCTAGCTGTCAAGGTAGAGAGGAGGGAGGGCTGTGCTCAATGCCTGGAGCCAAACAGCATTCTTTTCTAGTCAGCCCCTTCAATTTCAAAGCCCACAGTGGAGGAAACCCCTCACACTGAATCCCTCTCACACTGTGAATCTCTATGCTCAGGAAGAACCCAGTCCTTTCATGGGCTCACCTGATTAGGAGTGTCCAAGCAGGCTAAACCCAGCCTCAAGTCAACTGATTGAGGACCTTGATTATATCTGCTAAATCCCTTCACAGCAGCACCTACAGTAGAGTTGGTTGAATAATTGGGGGAAGGTGGATGACCAGGAGCTGGTTGTTGGGGCTATTATAGAATCAGCCTAGCAAGGGTTGGATTTTCCTTTTGTGTTTAATTGTGACACAGTTGGAAATTGAAGTTCAAGTAAAGCGATCATTGTGAATGATAATAAAATACATCCTCTTCAGCCATGGAGATTCACCTTACCTCTTAAAATCAAGTGACAGGTTTAATAGCTTATAATTAATTCATGCCAGGTGTGGTGGCTGGCACCTACAATCCTAGCACTGTGGCGGGCAGAGGAAGGCAGATCCATTGACTCCAAGAGTTTGAGATCAGCCTGGGCAACATGGTGAAACCTCCATCTCTACAAAAACATTAGAGTATTATCCAGGCATGGTGGTTCATGCCTGTAGTCCCAGCCAGCTACTCAGGAGGCTGAGGTCAGAGGATATTTGAGCACAGGAAGTCAACACAGCAGTGAATGGTGAACATGCCACTGCACTCTAGCCTCTGTGACAGAGCAAGATGCTGTCTCAAAAATAGTAATAATCATGATCATAAATTTAGAGCAAATGAAAATTGAAGTGCAATAAATCATCCTCTCTTATGAAAATGTATTAGTTATTTACTATTGCATAACAAATTACATAAAACTTAGCAGCGCAAAACAACAAACATCATCTACCGCAGTTTCCAATGGTCAGGAATCCAGGAGCAAGGTTTCCCTGAGTGCTTCTGGCTCAGAGCCTCTCACAAGGTTACAGTCCAGTCCAGGGCTGCATCATCTGAGAGCTTCACTAGGGCTTGGGATTTACAAGAAACATGGCTCACTCACATGGTTCCTTGTTGTCCGGTCCCAGGAGGCCTCAGTTTTTAGCCACATGGACCTTCCTGCAGGGCTGCTTATGGCACAGCAGTTGGCTTCCCCCAGAGCTCATGATCCCAGAGACAGAGAGAGAGAAGCTGCAGTGAGTTTTATGTTCTACACCCAGAGTCAAAAACTGTTATATCAGCACTACTCTATCAGTTAGAAGTTGTATTTGTCTGTTCTCACACTGCTATAAAGAAATACCTGAGACTGGGTAATTTATAAAGGAAAGAGGTTTAATTGACTCACAGTTCTGCATGACTGAAGAGGCGGCCTCAGGAAATTTACAATCATGGCAGAAGGGGAAGGAAGCATGTCATTCTTCACATGGTGGTGGGAGAGAGAAATGCAAGGTTGTCAGGGGCGGGGGTGGCAGGGAAGACTCTTGCAAAACCATCAGATCTCATAGAACTCACTCACTATCATGAGAACAGCATGAGGGAACCATCCCCATGATCTAATCACTTCCCACCATGTCTTTCCCCTAGCACGTGGGGATTACAATTCAAGATGAGTTTGGGTGGGGACACAGGGCGAGGCCATATCAGAAGTGCATCATTAAGTCCAAGCCGAACTCACAGGGAAGGAATTAAGCTGCACCATTGGAAGGGAGGAGTATCAAGGGATTTGCATAAATGTTGAAAGCAAAATTAAAATTATTATTTCAGGATTTTGTAAATCAAATGCTTCTTTCATGTGATTATTTTTCTTTAATGCTTTAAGCTTCTTTTTAATTTTTATTTTAAGTTTCAGGGTACATATGCAGGATGTGCAGATTTGTTACATAGGTAAACGTGTGCCATGGTGTTTTGCTACACTTATCAACCCAGCACCTAGGTATTAAGCCTAGCATGAATGAGCTATTTTTCCTAATGCGCACCCCACCTCTGCCCTCCCCCAAAAGGACACAGTGTTCCCCTCCCAGTGCCCATGGATTCTCATTGCTCAGCTCCCAATTATCAGTGAGAACATGCAGTGTTTGTTTTTCTGTTTCTGCATTAGTTTGTTGAGGATAATGGCTTCCAGCTTTTTCCATGTCCCTGCAAAACATGATCTCCTTCCTTTTTAAGGCTGCATAGTATTCCTTGGTGTACATGTCATATGTTTTCTTTATCCAGTCTATTGTTGATGCGCATTTAGGTTGATTCCATGTCTTTGCTATTGTGAGTGGTGCTGCAATGAACATACACATGGATGTAACTTTATAATAGAATGATTTATATTTCTTTGGGTATATACCCAGTAATGGGATTGCTGGGTCAAATGGTATTTCTAGTTCTAGATCTTTGAGGAATCGTCATATTGTCTTCCACAATGGTTGAACTAATTTACATTCCCACCAACAGTTAAAGCATTCCTATTTCCCTGCAACCTTGCCAGTATCTGTTGTTTCTTGACTTTTTAATAATCACCATTCTGACTGGCATGAGATGGTATCTCATTGTGGTTTTGATTTGCATTTCTCTAATGACCAGTGATGATGAGCTTTTTTTCATATGTTTGTTGGCCACATGTATGTCTTCTTTTGAGAAGTGTCTGTTCATGTCATTTGCCCACTTTTTAATGGGGTTGTTTGTTATTTTCTTGTAAATTTGCTTAATTTCCTTGTAGATTGTGGATATTAGATCTTTGTCAGATGGATAGATTACAAAAATTTTCTTTCATTCTGTAGGTTGTCTGTTCACTCTGATCACAGTGTCTTTTCCTGTGCAGAAGCTCTTTAGTTTAATTAGATCCCATTTGTCAGTTTTTGCTTTTGTGGCAGATGCTTTTGGCGATTTCATCATAAAATCTTTGCCCATGCCCAGGCAAATGGTATTGCCTAGATTTTCTTCTTGGGTTTTTATAGTTTTGGGTTTTACATTTAGGTCTTTAATCCATCTAGAGTTAATTTTTGTGTAAGATGTAAGGAAGGGGTCCAGTTTCAGTTTTCTGCAAATGGCTAGCCCGTTTTCCCAACATCATTTATTAAATATGGAATCATTTCCCTGTTGCTTGTTTTCATCAGGTTTGTTGAAGATCAGATGGTTTTAGATATGCGGTTTTATTTCTGAGTTCTCTACTCTCTTCCATTAGTCTATTACCATGCTGTTTTGGTTACTGTAGCCTGTAGTATAGTTTGAAATCAGGTAGTCTGAGGCCGCCTGCTTTGTTCTTTTTGTGTAGGATTGTCCGGGCTATATGAGCTCTTTTTTGGTTCCATATGAATTTTAAAATAGTTTCTTCTAATTCTGTGATAAGCTTCTCTTTTTAAATTAATGATTAAAAGTTTGAGACATCACAGAGCCTTGGGTGTTGTGGGGAAAACTGTTTGAGACAGAGAAAGAGGATACAATAGTATGTCTGAGTTTTTCTTGCAAATACCTTTAATAACAATATTCTCTTCAATGAGTCAACAGTTGAGAACCCAGAGTAACTAGAGCAAATATTCCAAAGACTTCTGTGCCGTAAAAATAATGACTTGAAAATAAGTCTTTGTTTCAACTAAGGTGTCTCACATTTAGTTGAAGTATGCCCCAAGTGCCAATTTTCTTATTGAAATATCATCTTCAAAAAACATTTGCCTACACTTAAAAAAAAGGGCTGTTGTGTCTATTGAGTAGCCATTCTTTTGTTTCCTTACTTCTCTCATAAACTTGATTTCACTTTAAAAAATTTGCCTAATTGGTTTTAATTTACAAAAATGTGAATCTCATACCTCAGTTAACACATCTAGCTTAGCAAGATGTCAATAGCTTTGGTTGGATGCAGTAGCCCAAAATGGTTAGCTCCAACTGAGGCATAAGATTTTTCAAAAACTGGCTATTTGGTGAGCATTCTATAATAAACTTAACATCTTTTGTTCTGGTATTGAATCAGATACGATAGAAGTGATTTGGACACCACTATGATTCTAAATAGCACTGCAATTTTGTGCTTTCAAGTTTTTTTGAGCAATCCTGTTGTGTTTTCCATTCATATTTGCTATTCCATCACTGGTTGTTCCTTTATACTCTTTTATTGTTTCATCTATTTTGATCAATGATGTGCATTTCCAATTCTGTAAAAGTTTAATTCAGTTGTATGTGTGGAATATGTAACAAATCAAATCCTTTGCAAAATGGAATTACCTTGCACATCAGATTGAATCTTGTATACCTGAAAATCTAGAGAGATGCCTGTGAGCCAAGGATCATATGGCCCTTTAGCCAAGGGTATTGTCATGGCATCCTGTAAGGAGCCTCTCTGTCATGTGGCTCCTTACAATTCTCTGTGGCTTTCTTCCAATGTAAGTAGTTCTTGTTAAGGATCCTTGCAATGAACTTTGATATTTTTTTCTTTCATTTTTTAAGAAACAGGTATATTTTAGTTTGAAAAATACTGTTTAAGGAGTTATAATCTAGTAGTTACCTGGGTTCCCAGCACTGGCATAAGACACAGAACCCGCAAAGCCACCCTGGGCTGCTGCCCACTCACATCCCCCAGAATGAGACCCCATCCTGAGTCTTGTTTTTATTATTACTTTGTATTTCTTTAAATATTTGTACAATAAGTATATATAATCTCAAACCAAATATTAGTTTCACTGGTTTTTAAGCTTCCTGTACAGAAATTCCTACTACATTTCTTTTCTCATGATGCACATTATGTATAGGAGTTATCTGTTGTGTGGGAGGCTGTCATTCACTCATTTTTACTGCTGAAGGTTTACATTTTATGGTTATACCACAATTTCACTACTTTGCTATTGATGTATAGGAGGCTGATTCCAGTTTTTGCCATAAACATTAGTGTGCATGTCTCCTGGGCACATAGGCGAGAAAGCCGCCAGAGTGTATGATTAGGAGTGGGATGGTTGGATGATATGTTGTATGGCCTTTAACCATACTAAATAATGATAATATGATTTCCAAAGTAATTGTGCCAACTTAAGCTTTTACAATAAATGTGTAATATGTGATGTTGATGTGTTCTGAAAACACTGAGTTGAAGGAATTAAGAGTTAATAGCAACTGCCTTGGCTGCAGAATTATAGCAGATTTTTTTTTTTTTTGACGGAGTCTTGCTCTGTCGCCCAGGCTGGAGTGCAGTGGCACAATCTCGGTTCACTGCAAGCTCCACCTCCTGGGTTCACGCCATTCTCCCGCCTCAGCCTCTTGAGTAGCTGGGGCTACAGGTGCCCGCCACCACACCGGCTAATTTTTTTTTTGTATTTTTAGTAAAGACAGGGTTTCACCGTGTTAGCCAGGATGGTCTCTATCCCCTGACCTCGTGATCCGCCCGTCTAGGCCTCCCAAAGTGCTGGGATTACAGGCATGAGTCACCATGCCCAGCCTATAGCAGGCATTCTTATTCAGACTCTGTTAATAACTTCCTGTTGTTAACTTGTATCCTATATACCATGGCTTTATACTTTTAACATATAGATTCAGAAAATGTTTCCTTATAGTACAAACACATAGGGTTATTTTATATGTCAGAATATGTCATAATAAAAAAGAAAAAAATGGAGGAAAGGAGAGAAAGAAGGAGAGAGGAGTGAAGGAAGCAAAGAAGGAAGGGGAAGAGAAGGAGGGAGGGAGGGCAAATGGAAATAGAAAAGAAAGAGAGGGAGGGAGAGATAGAAGTGAGAAGAAAGGGAAGGAATAAAGGAGAAAAGAAACGAAAATAAAGAAAAAAACAGGCGTAGAGAAACTAGGAACCCAATATATGGCTAATATTATCAAAATGGGAGGAAATAAAACGGATGTATTTAACCTCTATAGAATAACAGAAATGTAAGAGGGCTTCATTAGTTATCCATTGCTGTATAACAAACTACCCCCAAATTTAGTGACTTAAAGCAACAAACATCGACTATCTCAAAAGCATAATACAAATACTAGCAAAATGGAGCCAATGCAGGTAGAAGTTGAACAAACAAAAGGATTTTACAAATTGGAGTAAGTAAGAGGTCACTGGTGTGCAGATGAAAATGATTTTGCATTCCAAGTGCCATCATGGGATTAAAGTTACAGGATTTTATTAGGGGACACACCTGTCAGAGATATAGCAACGGAGGCAGGTTACCCTGGGAAAGGCAACAGACCAAGATGCAAATGTGACCCCCAGTGATGGACAGAAGGACAGAAGGTTTACTGGATGTGTCCTAGACCACAGGCAATCTCAGGAGAGTTGAGCAAAGCCATGGAGGAGTCTTTGAGCCACTGCTGTCCGTCAGAGGAGTCCCTGGTCTCCCAGGAATGTCCTGCCTCAGTGTCACTGGTGTGACCCATCACTGGCTGGGAACAGCCCATGGGAAGCAGGGTCTCTGCACCAATGACACTGAGGATGTCAGAGCACAGGAGTGGGGCCTTGGGTGATTACCCAGGAGTGTGGCTCAAACCTCCTGTCCTGAGAGGTCTGGGCCCTTGGAAATCAAATCCTCTCAGGCTGGATTGCTGGATGATTCTGCTCACATTTACAAAGGGACAAGGCAAACCAGAAGGCCCCCAAGTAGATCTCTGGTTCTCACACACACACTTCTGCCCTCATTGTGTGAAAGTAGCCATGCCTCCTCCTGGAGAGCAGGATCTATTACCTGCACCTGGAGAGGAAGAGACTCCTTTTCTCACCAGCTGGTCTCTGGGCACATACTGTCCAAACTTCTCTGGTGACAACCATAATGTGTAGTTCAATGGGCTGTCATGTGTCTCCTTTTAAGGACCTCCTGCCCTGAACAGCCCAAAGTTGGGAGATAAAACGTGCAAAATACCCCAGTGGGTGAATCTAAGAGACTGGACATGGAGACAAACCTGCTTCCAACTTTCGGTTTCTAGACCCACATATTCTTCCTATTGAGAACACAGCACCGTAGAGATGTCTCTGATTCAAACAATGCACCATGTCCTGAAAAACGGCCCCCACCCCTCAGAGTGCTTCCTCCAGGATGACACTGAGTTTTGCCTGTAGAAGACATTTCCAGCATTCCTTGTGGCTGGCAGCCCCTGGGTGGTGCAGATGGTGATCAGATCAGTGAAACCCATAGCCACGGAAACACTGGAACTTTCCCTGCCAAGTGGGTCCTTCAGGCAGATACTGGGTTGGGAGCACCACCTAGCCTGTGGATCAGGAATGTCAACAGCACCCAGAGAGTGGTGCTGGCTGAGTGTCCGAGAGCAGGACAGGAAAACTCACCCATGGAATATGAGCCTACCCCTGTGAAGATGAACCTCAGGCCCTTCTAGGATGGAAGTAGCTAAATGTAGTCAACTTGTTACATAGTGGCTAGTTAGTCACCTAAAGAAATAGTGCCCCACTAGGGCACATGGTGGGCCTCAAATGCTGATGAGTTGGACATTCAGAGGTGGCAGCAGCTGGATCTGTCTTGATAATGGGGAGTCAGTACTTCTGGCCCCATATGTAGCCTCATGCCTGCCACTGTGCTTGCTCCATTCATGTGCCCATCCTACCAGGCCTGCATTGACCCATAGTGAAGGCTGGCTAACTTCCATTTGTCTGTTTGGTTGTTCAGTGCTGCTTCAGACTTGGGTGTTTTCTGGGGGTGTCAACATGGGATTCAAGCACAACCCAGGTGGACCATTTTCACCTCATGATGAATGCTGTTGGGCCTGTCCAATCTATGACTTTCTGGGTCACACAGAAGCCAATTCACACAGGTACTTGGAATCACATCGTTGCTTGGTGTCCTGTGGTTAAGCATTCTATCGAATCAGGACCAGGAACACTAAAAGTTGCTTCTAATGGGGAGCCATGTCTCTGCTGTGGATGACATGATCTTACTCCAGATCCCAGGCCCTCCACCATGACTCTCCCACTGCTGCTTGGTTCAGCTCCATCCTGCATCTTTCCCCACCCCTGCCCCTTCCAGTACCAAGAGGTCTGAGGGATGGTGGCTGCACCGCAGCCTGTATCTGCTGCAGGGTGCTTTCCTGTGTAGGCCTCACTTGAAGCTGGCCTCCTCCTATGTCACCTAGAGTGTGGGCCAAAGCAACATTTCTACATGTGGAATGTGCTGTCGTCAGAACTCCAAGAGTGCTTTCTTTTTTTGCAGTAAGGATGCAAAATGCAACACTTTGTAATTTACCTAGGAGGGGACACCCCTGGCATTCCCCTAAACACTGGACTCATAAAACTTCACTACAGTGACCTTTCCTGAAGCTCTGTAAGGTTTATCTTCACCTTCTGAAGTGCAAATGTTTTGCCAACGATGCCAGTGCACTTTCTACCTGCTGCTCATTCGCCCCAGTCAACATGAAGTTGTAAATGAAATGAGCTGATTTAATATCCTTTAGGATATCCAGTATGTCTAGTATAGTCATAAGACTATACTATAGAGGACAGGGGAGTTACAAAAGTCCTGAGGCAAACTATAATTCAATGTGTTGTGGATCCCACATGAATGTGAATCACTCCATATCCCCTTTGTAATTGGAATGGAAAGAAATGCACTCACCAAATCCACAGCTGCACACTGTGTGCCCAAGGCTTTGTTAATCTGCTCTACCAGTGATATCCAGACAGCACAAAAGCTGCACTTATAACTCCTACTTGGCCATATCTGGAGTAATCTCATTCATTCTTTAGGCCTCACTAGGCTTCCTCAGGGACAGATTGCTGGATTACACGGAGACAATAGGCAGCCTCAACACCACCCCGCCTCCTTCAGCTTTGTAATGGTGGTGTGACCCCCACAATACTTGCAGTGTCCTTCACAAGACCCACGCTGGGACACACTATGATTTTTGATTTGGCCAGGATGGGGGCAGTTTCAGAGGTTTCCCTTTGGCCTTTGGCATCAAGAGATCCCTTATACCACAGACTGGGGACCCAGTGTGGGGGTGACTCCACTTACCAGAGCATCAGTGTCAATTATGCACTCAGGGAATTGGAAGATAATCAGGGTTGGGTCTATGCATCCAGTGGTCCCATTGCGGGCCATAATGTGTCCAGGTTTACTCCCTGGCCTCCGTAAGCCCCACTGTGATGGAGAAGATGATTGTGCTGTGGGCATCTGGGCATCAATATCAGCTTACATGCAGTGAAAATGATCCCCCCTAGTTCTGCCTATTTCCCTTCCCCAATGTACAGTCTCCTGAGTAAATGGCTATAGGTTCCCTTGCTGAAAGACTGAGGGAATTGTCCCAGCCATATACCTCCATGGTGTCCCAGGGTCCTTTCTCTAGGGATATGGACTCCTCCTCTGTCACTGAGATCTGAGTCTGAATCTTGATTGAGGTCTAGGCATTGAGAAGGGGATCATGGCTTTGTATTTGGTCGAACACCCTCAGTCTCCTGCTCCTCAATTCTTGCTTTCTTATCATATATATCAAGCAGTGCCCTTGTTGGCTGCCTCTTGTAACCCTGGTGTCCTCTCTACTAACTTTCCCCACACTCCCTGCAGCTTGAGTCCCCTTGGCTGCTCCTCTGAGGTTGCCATGGTAACCATGCCCTCCGGCTTTTGCAGGTCACTGCCACCACTTGTTCTCAGTCTCTTCAGGCCCACATTCTCCCCAGAGATATGAATAAGCACAACTCTGGGACCTTTACTATCATTACCCCCAGCCTGCAGAGGATAACACCCCGACACTTCTTAGTGATGCAGGTCCCTCTCCACAGCATGTTCCTGAGGCTCTGGTGGAAGATGTGCCCTCTGGGTCCTCTTGTGGAGCATGGTCCTGGTGGGCCTTCATCACGCCCACTTCCCTCAGCCTTGTTATTGCATCCTCTACATGTTCCAGGATAACTAGGTCATATCTACCTTGTTGAGAGTTGGGCATCATTTTTTCCAGTCTATATGGACTCACCCCAGTAGTGGGTTTACCCCATGTCCTGGGTTCTTTGATAAACCCATGTCCTGAGAAAGTGCCTCCAAGCCAAAGGATTTTTATTCATCCAGACTGAAATTCTAGTTTATTGATCAAATGCCCTCAAATTCCAATCCCAGAAGTGCACCCCAGGCCCCTATGGGGACATGCTGGCTAGTTCCTGCAAAGCTCCTGAGTGGGATTCCTGCTGCATCGTAGGAGTGAGGCTTCTGTAGCATCTTTCAGCATAGGAAGTGGGAACGATTACTAGAGAAGGGTGAGCCTCCTCTGCATGCCCAGGGGGTCCTGGAGGAGGGCACCCATCAGATAACTCTGTTCTAGTTTGCAGAATCTGAGGTTCCCCCACCAGGGCCCTGACTTTCCTATAAAAGGCCTGTGTTGGCTGAGTATCAAACGTCTCTGGAGCACTGTGCCCACCATAATGATGTTCAGCTACCATTCCATGCTATCTGCTCTTTTGATCCAGGAGATAAAGGCCTCTCCATGAGACACTGCAGAGACTCTCACACATAGCCAGTGACAGCTGTTAACAACCTGCAGATTCTCATTATCCTTTTATAGAGCATCAACACAGCTGGGAAGTAACCAGCCAACTCCACTGTCTTTGTGGGTTTACCCCCAACTCCATCATTATTGTGCAGGGCATTCTATCACCACATCTGCCATAGCTTCCCCTAACCAGAGCATCTTCTCAGGTTAGCACTGGTGAGACCCACGGCACTCAGACGCAACTTCTCTATGGACTTTCTTTGTCCCCCGCTAACCTAGATGGCATCCTCTTGGCCTGACAGGCAGTGGGAAAGCTTATTTCAAATTTCCAGTTTTGGTCATTTTCATGGATCGCCCTTGATACCACTTGTGATAGCTGCGGTCCTGAACTTAGACCCCAATACAGTATTAAATGTGTAAGGATTTATTAGGGGAAATAGTTGTGAGAGAAAATCAGGATAGAGACAGAAATGCTGGAAAAGCCATCAGATCACAATGCAACTCTGAGTCCCAGTGAAGGAGAGAGGGCAGGAAGGTCAGCTGGAAGCATCCTAGACCCTGTGTAGGCTAAGGGAAGCTCAGTAGGGATGGCAGGGAGTCCTGGAGCCTCAGCCAGCCTTCAGAGTAGGAATATTCTTGCCTTAGTTTTCCTGCTTTGGTCAATCATTGGTTGGAAAAAGCTGGGGCAGGTGTGGTCTCAGATCAAACGTGACAATAGATTTCAGGCTGCGACAGCTGGGACATCATCAATTATTCTTCCTCTACCTGAGGGCCTGGGATGTGCATCCTCATGAGTGCCACAATGATCCACTGGAATAAAAGGAAAAGGGATGACAATAGAGGGAAAAAAAAGGTATTAATTGATGAGCTAACACTTTAAGTAGATGAGAAGGGATGATGTTCAGGGCACCAGCAGAGGAACTGGCTCTGGCTGGGAGCAGGATGGTTAACACACAGCAATCCCCCATGTAGTAAAATGCCTGACATGTGGTGCAGCTGCAAATGCATGAGCAGACGGTGGTGGAATCTGTGAAGTTGTCTTCTAAATGTGTTCAGTTTTCTCAGTGAAGTAGGAAGCAAGATCATCAGCGGAAGTAAGAATGGGGAAGGAAGATTGGATGTGTGAGGACAGAGAGAAGGTATGTAAGAGTCACCCAGGCCAGGAGGAGGCTGAGAGTGAGCCATGCAGGGAGAGGGTGATTGCTGGCTATGGTGGGGGCTCCCCATGAGGTTTGGGTCGTGAATGTAGAGAGAACAGTCAGCATGCTGTGTGCTGCTCTCCAGCCTCCTGCAGCTTATGGGGGCAGGTGCAGTGTAGGCTGAGGTGGAATCCACTAGCTGTGTAGTTTTGCCAGGCAAGTGTGACAACGAAAGGGAGAGGCAAGGGAGGGATGGAAATTATTTACTACAGAATCCAAAATGGATGAGGAGGGAGGAGAGGACAACAAACACTAAGGGAGAAGGAATAGATAGCAGCATCACTGGATTGGGAATTTCAAGGGGGTGGAAAAATTATTGGAATAGATGTACTACAGAATGGACTCCATGCCTGGAAAGCAGGCACACATGCAATGAGTGGTTCACTGATGTTACATTATAGCATATGATCAAATTATAGCATCAGTGTCTTCAGAGCCTGTGGCTACCCTGCAAGGGGATGAGTGGAAAGATGGCCAGAGAGTGGGAAGTGTGAGATTGAGAGTGTGGAAGGGCTGGGGTTCTTTGCCATGATGAGGCCTAGGGGAGGACAAGGTCCTGAGATTCCGGCAGAGAGAGGAGATGGTAATGAAGAAAAGGAGTTCCAGGATCTGAGAGGCCAGGGAGTGAGGGCATCTTCTCTGCTGTATAGGTGTCTATTGCTGCCATAAAAATTACCACAAACCAAGCAGCTTTAAACAGCACCTAATTATCATGTCACAGTTGCGTGGGTTGCAAGTCCACCCAGTCTCACGGGGCTAAGATCAAGGTATGGGCAGGTCTGTGCTCCTTCCTGGAGAATCTGGGGAAGAGTCCACATCCAAGCTTATTCAGGTTCTTGTCTGAATTCACTTCCTGCAGATAGAACTGAGCTTCCCACTTCCTTTTTGGGAGCACCCTTAGATCCTAGAGACTTCTCTCTGGTGCCTAAAGCACATCCAATCCTCCTGCTTGGAACCACTGATCTCCCCTTTGCTGTGTCTCCTCTGCCTTCCTTCTCTGCAGCATGTGACTCCATCTAGAGCAGATTCTCTCCTTTTAATGGCTCATGTGATTTGATCGGGCCCACACAGAGAGTCCAGGATTATCTCCCTACTTTAAGGTCTTTTATCTTCATTACATGAGTAATGTCCCTTTTGCCATGCAATGCAACCTGTTCACCGACTCCAAGGACTAAGACTGGATCTCTTTGGGGACTAGTACTCAGCCCAGCACATCTGCATATGTTGAAGTCAGAAAGAATCAAGGAGACAGCACTGCTGGAGAGGGTGACAGTGATCTAGGAGCTACAAGAGTTAGGATTGACAGGAATGGCTTGGGGCCCACAGGGAATGGCTACAATGAGGGGAGCGGGGCCTTAGTCTGTTGACAGCTTAGGGGTTTTAGGGAGGAGGGAGGCAGAAAGGTCTGAGAACCACAGTGAAGAGCAAGGACCCCACCTCACCTCTGAACCCAGGGGTACAAGTTGCTGGGAAACTCCCCCATGTAGGGGAACTTCAGAGTGGGTCACATCCTCAGGAAGACCTGGTTCCTGCTAGAGCTTCGAGGTGAGGGAGCATCCTGAGAGAGAATGAGGAGGTTTTGCTGATCATGGACTGAGGATTCCAGGGAGTACAGAGGGAAGATTTCTGGAGTTAGGTAGGGGACATGGTGGGGGGACAGAATAGAGCGTGCGGAGCCTTGTGGGGATGCAAGTGCTGGGTATATGGGGGACCCAGTGTGACTGACACAAACAGGGAAAGGGCATGAGGAGCTCAGTCCTGGTGGACTCGAGGCAGACGATGGTGCTGAGGCTGTGGGAGATGAAGGAGGAGGAGCAGGGGTGGCTGTCACCTGGGCTCTCTCCATGGAGGTGAAGACAGTGAGGTGGTTGGGTCTTAGTGCTGTGTGGACCTTCTGATGACTGGATGGAGTGTCTGAGGGAGGAGGGGTCTTAGAGGATTCACTCGTGACCCTGAGGGAGGGTATGTTCTCACTTCAGGTCTCAGGTGTGCCCTGACACCTTTCTTTGTGGCTTAGGGCTCCCTACTGTAAATTATTGGGGATTAGTACCTTTTGGAATTTGTAACTTAAAGCAGAAACTCAGATGGTCGAAATGTCATTTTCATGAAGGTTTGTTATTAGCGTATCATTTAGATTGTCTTGCAAAAGTCTCATTTTTTGTTGTTTTTCTAAAGGGCTGTCGATCTTGTTTTAAATTTACAAATATTGATAATTTATCTCCACTGTTAATTGGTTGGGGGTTGTTTAATTTTGTACTGCATAGTTTTACATATCTATAACAACAGTGGTTTGGGCCTCTTATGTTCTAATAATTAAGACTTTAAGCTGTGTACACATTGCAATTCAAGTATGAGTCATGCATAACCCTGGCACTAAGAGAAAAGAGGGAAAGTCCTTCTCTCCTAAAATTTTGCAAAGGTTCTGGGTTCTTTTTCCACTGAGTGGGAACAAGTCAGCTAGTGAGGAACATGAGGTCTTTGGCCTCATCGAAAGGTGATTCATCTCCCAACTGTGAGAAGCACTGACCACTAGGAAGACCTCCCTGCCTGGTCCCTGGACCCCTACACCATGGTAGAGGCTATCTTCCCTCCCACTGCAGAGTGATATCCCAGATAGCAAGCTGGTTAGCTGCTGCCAGCTCTTGGGTAGTTTTGTCTTCTAAGGCATGGGTTTTTATCTGAAAATCTTCCCCTTCCCAGATGACCCAAACTGGGGCCACCCACTCTTTTCTGAGCCACCTCTGCCCAGAGACCTGTGGCTATGCCCTCCAGTCACAACAGAACACCGTTTCAGAACACCCTGCAGGAAGCTGAGATCTCTACAGACTCACATGAATGGTGTGTGCACAGAGCTTTGGTTCTAGTTCAGGAGGTGTGGAGTGAGGCTCGCTAGTCCAACAGAGCTTGAGGCTAGTACTAGTGTCATATGCCAGGAGGCAAGGTTACAGGGGGTACAAAGTGTCCAGACCTACCAGAGAAGGCAAACCCCTGTAACAGGCAGGGCTAGACAGGGACAAGAAACAAGGTCATTCTGGGCCAGCAAGAAGAGGGAAAGGGAAATTACAGACATATCTCAGAGAGATTGCAGATTTGGTTTCAGATCATGCAAACAAAACAAGTCACACAATTTTTTTGTTTTTGTAGTGTACATAAAAGTTATATTTATACTTTAGCCTATTAAGTATACAATAGCATTATGTATAAAATAGATATGTACATACCTTAATTAAAAATTACACTACTGCTAAAAAATGCTAACAGTCATCTGAGGCTTCAGCTAATACTAATGTTTTTGCTGGAGTAGGGTCTTGCCTCAATGTTGATGACTGCTGACTGATCACAAGGTGGCTGCTGAAGGCTGCTGTGGCAACTTCTTAAGACAATAAAGTTTGTGGCATGGATTGTAAAGTGGGAATTAGTACATAAGTAAGGTCAATATGAGTTTTCAAGTCAAGTGGACCTGAATATGAACCCTTCAGGCCTTTCCACCAGCTAGCTATAGAACCCCGGGCACATCTGGCCCACAATTGGCCCTGACAGACACTTTCACAGTGAATGAATGCTGAATGAAACCATATGAGTCAGTTTCCTCATCTGCAAACCAGTGATGTAATTCCTGCCTTGCCAATTCAGAAGAATACATGAGAAGAAACATAGTGCCAAGAAAAACAGACACAAGACCTGTGGAAGGCTGGGCACCAGTGCTCTAAAGCAAGATCTGCCTAAACTGGCAGGAACATTTTTCACAGCAGACAGGAGTTGGTCTGGATTCTGTCTGGGGCCAGGCTGAGAGGGAGGTGGGGGCAGCAGAACGGGACAGGGGCAGGGGCCTATGCAGGGCCAGGCACTGAAGCAAAGCCCAGGCCTGGAAGGGCGGGCTCCTGATGTCTGCTAGGAAACTCAGACAGCTCCCTGCCTCACCCGCCATGGTTTTTCCTCTTCCAGGATCTCTCAGAGCTGTTGCCTTCACTTTTCCTGCCTTGGAAAGTGGAGATGATAACGAAAAGCTGTTGCCAAATTAAAGGAGGCTATTGCCTCCTCTCCCCTCCTGGTCCCTAGCACTCCAGGACTCACAAAGATGCTGCTCTGAAAACCCCAAGGCAAGCGTGGAAGAGTAGAACAGCTCCAGGGGCAGTGGGAAGATGAGGGCACCCCCGCATGTTGACAGACACCAAGGGTGGGGGTGGAGGAGATGAAGGGGATCAGCACAGGAGTCTGGGGGAAATCCTCTAAATCCCACCCTGCACCAACCTCACCCCTGCAGCTCCTTGTGTAGTTACAGCTCTCAGCTCTCAGCTCCTTCCCAACCACACCCCAGCCCAGACCTCAGGGCTCCTCCCTCTCCCTACCCCCTCCAGAGCAGCACAGTCCACAGAGCCCTTGAAAAGGAATTCCCCCTCATCTAACAGTTAATTATTTCTTAGTGGGGAGGG
This sequence comes from Homo sapiens, assembly GCF_000001405.40. Taxonomy (NCBI): domain Eukaryota; kingdom Metazoa; phylum Chordata; class Mammalia; order Primates; family Hominidae; genus Homo; species Homo sapiens. The sequence continues at coordinate 1,025,655 of NT_167247.2, read as the reverse complement.
ACAGCCGGTCCTCTCTTTCCAGTGACCCCATGTCTTTGTTCAAGGCATCCAGTTATACTCCCTGAGCCAGGGATCTCTAGGCCAGCTGGGACCTAACAGCTTCTCCAGTTGCTCAGGGGCCAGCACTTATGCAACCTGGCATCTGTGCCTGGCACTTCCTTCAGATGTCTGGCTGTCCTCGGAGGGCTGGAGTCCAAGGAGTTGGGGCAAGTAGGTGGTAACCAGGCAAAGTTTGAGTTGCAAGAAGACAGGGATATCGGCCATCCTGGTCATTGTAGTCTTATCAGGTCCTTGTCCCTTGTGGAGGCAGAATTCACCACATGTTAGTTTTTCCTGCTGTAATGAACATGAACTTGGGGTTGGTGCACTGATACAATAAGGTTTGCTCTGCTGCAGTAGTGTTGCCTCCGTGTAAGAGAAACAAAGGCTTCAATATAACATTTGCCTGTGTATCTCACAGCCTAAGGGCTAACAGAGCATCTGTGGGAACACAGTGGCCCACACCCTAGTCAGGACCCCACAAGGACTGAACCAAATGTAGGGTCATTAGCTTTTCCTGGCCTCAAATAGGAGTCTCACCCTGCCTTAGCCATGACTCCCATGCCATGTACATGTGGTAGGGGCCTGTGTGCCCAGCAAGGACACAGTTCAGAGAGCTTTCTTCATCACCTAGGGTGAGTGGCTGGAAAAAAAAAAAAGTTGCCCACGCCCATGAGGCCCTGGAGGGAAGCATAGAACCTACTACTAAATTCTTCTGGGATGACCCATTTCAGGCATGGTTTCCTCTGTATCAAAGTTGCTCTCTCACTGATCTACTGACAGCTAGCTCTTAACAAAAGAGTGTGTGGAGCAGTAAAACTCATGTCGGCCTGAGAGGGCCCCAGACATGTAATGATGTCTGGTGGCTTTGGCTGGGGCCACCCCATGGCTGTCCTCCTTCTTGGGCGTTCCCCGCTCCCATCTCACTGGAGCCATGGTGGGTTCACCTGTCCTCTCTTCTCACTCCCATTCTTCAGGGTGGGATGCAGTGGTGTGCTCCTCTCTCCCCAACAGAGCACTGGTGTCCCTTTTGGAGTCTAGTTTCTCTTTTCACCCCCAAGCCTGCTGGGGAGGTCTCAATTCCAGGAAGTTGGCTGCTGGGCATCCACTATGGGCTCCAGCCCTGGACCACAGGCGCTGTCATATTTTGGGTGGAAAGGAATTTGTTTCTTTTCTGCAAAGTAAAGGAAAATGGAATGAGGGCAATTAGGTTGATCTCATGATGTCCATGGGTCCATGGGAACTTGAAAGACTCATCCCCTTCCCCCTGCTTTAAGAAGATAAATGGAGAAAAGGAGCTCCCATTAAGGGAAAACATTGACTCTATTCCTATTGACTCTATCCTTGAAATGGAATTTGGATTCAACTTCAAAATTGAATTCATTTTTAGGGATAGAGTCAAATTCAAATATTGACTCTATCCCTGAAATTAAATCACAAGCAAATAAGAAATTTATGAGATCCAAACTAAGCCATTTAAGTAAACTATTCCAGAATTTAAAGCTCAGCAATGACAAGATATCAGGAAACAGTGACAATTCTCCCACTCCACAGGTGAGTCCAGTGAGACTGGTCAGGGCTTGCTGCCTGCTCCTTGGTGCTGTCCTGGTACTTTGGAAGCATCTATGATTCTGTGAACCTCACCCACAGCTGCCCAGCAACTTCCTTTTGCTTATATGAGCCAGACTCTGCTTTTATGGCTTATACTCAAATAATTTAAGGTATTTATTTATGAGTTATACGTCCCATGTGGAGATAGGGAAGGAGAGTTAGGTACTCTTCAATGTTACTACCTGCTAAGCATATATACATGATTTTTTTTTTTTTTTTTTGAGACGGAGTCTCACTCTGTCACTCAGGCTGGAGTGCAGTGGCATGATTTTGGCTCACTGCAGCCTCTGCCTACTGGGTTGAAGCAATTCTCTTACCTCAGCCTCTCAAGTAGCTGAGGTTACAGGCGCCCACCATCATGCCCAGCTAATTTTTGCATTTTTAGTGGAGACAGGGTTTCACCACTTTGGCCAGGCTAGTCTCGAACTCCTGACCTCAGGTGATCCACCCGCCTCGGCCTCCCAAAGTACTGGGATTACAGGCGTGAGTCATCATGCCTGGCCGAAACGTTGCTTTTTAAAGGTATAATTTTGGATTAGAGCAAATGCTAGTGTATTTAAGTAAATTCCATGAAGAATGTGAACACTGTAAGCAAGTGCATTATTCTCAGCTTCCATCTCCTCACAGAGCCATCATCCACTCTCTTCCATCCTGCCCCCTACACTGGGAGGCAACTATGACAGACAGACGACATGGCCTGTGCTCCTTCACCATCTGGCTTGTGCTTGGGTGTGGATGATAACAGGCACCTGCAGGAGATGGGAGTGTGGGAGGAGGAGTAACTCAGGGTTTTCATTTCCCTCACTTACTCTGGGCAGCTCTGTGATTCTGTAATCACTTCAGGCCTCTATCTACAGCCATAGGCATGGCGGGCTGCCCCTAGTGAAAGCTACAGATTTGCCTGAGTTCTAGAAACTGCTCCCTTCCTTGCTCTTTCAAGCTCAGAAATGCAAACCATTTCCTGCTACAGATCATCCCAGGGAGCTTCAGTGCCCCTTGTGACTTTCTTAGCCCTGCCAGAACCTCTTTAAAACGTGTCTTCCTTCTGTGCCATATCTTTCCTGCCAGGACCCAGACCACAGGGTGCTCCCACAGAAAAAGGGACAAGAATTTATTTATGACATGGCAATAACATATCTATTCACAATGCGAATTCAGTTTGTTTTGGAAGAGACTGGGTCTTGTTATGTTGCCGAGGTTGGTCTTTAACTACTGGCCTCAAGCAATCCCTTTGCCTTAGCCTTCCCAAAGTGCTAAGATTACAGGCGTGAGTGAGTGTGCCCAGGCCTTAATTCAAAAATTTGACTTACTACAATAAAAGGGAAACAATAGAAGCATTCTGGAAATGGAACAGGAAAGAAGGCAGAGGTGGGAACGATCAATCTGTGTCATCTGAGAAGCCCCATGTGCAGAGGCTGTCCTGGGTCTTTAGGGGACGACAACAACAAAGCACACAGGATCCTGGTGTCAGGGACAGAGCATGGCCACTGTGGGACATAGCGGCTCTCCTACAAAATAATGCTCATATACATCCCTTATGAGGAGGATCAGATCAACATATAAAAATATGCCAGATAAAGTGGAGGCGAGGGCAGGATGGAGAGCTGCCAGTATCTGCCCTTGACCTCCATGGACTTGAAGAAAGGCTCAGCCTGGAGTTGTGTGAGGCCTCCGACCTGGAGCAGCACCCACCCCTAAAGACCAGGCACCAATCACAATGCAAGGAGAGATCCAGACAAATAAACAGGAAATGACCACAGCAGGAGCTTTGTTGAGCACAGAGCGAGGCCACACACCACTCAGCACCTGGCCCTCCACCCGCCCTTCTCTCCCCACCTGCCCCTGCCCCAGCACAGCAGATCCTCAGAATCCAAAAAGAGAACCTAACCTCCATGTTTTATTAATGGCTGATAATATTTTACCACAGCTTCAAAGAAATGATATGAGAACAATAACTAATAGAGTAAGAAGTCTATTCAGGGTGAGTGAGTGACAAGGGAAATCTAGGAGGGAGATATTGTAACCCTTTCATTCCCAGAAAAGAAATGATGGTCCAGGGAGATACACCAGGCCTGGATATTGAGATTACGTGGAAGGGGTTCTGGGGCATCAGAGGAGTGGGCCTCACTCCCACCATCCTCCCCTTGCTATGCTTGGGAGGAGATAGAGCTCATCAGCTGCACAGCTGGGGAAAGAGAAGTCAGGGTCTTCCAAGAGACAAGGGGAGCTGTGAACAATCTGTGTCTTGCTGGTCTGCACAAGGCAGCTCTCAAACAGTGGAGAACATGCTAATGAGCAGATTCAGCTCAGCCACTCTCAGCCTTGACACCCTGAGCATTACAGACAGCCCGTGACCAACCCCTACTTTCAAATCCAAAGATCCCCTACAGCTTGAAGCTTCTCCCCGGCCTCAACTCCTGTTGGTGTTGGGCCCCAAGGGTCATATTTCAGGAAGCTGTGAGCACCACATCAGCATCAGGGACCCGGTCACCACCTGGAGAATGATAATAAAAAGACCCAGCAGAGCCTGCAGGAGACTGTATTTGAGGCAGGACCATGGGATAAGTGAGGAATGAGACGGTGGCTCCATCCTGTCTATTTCAGGAGTTAGAGATGAGCTGCCCCTACCGCCCCTTCCATGCTGCTTTTTATTGAGTAGACCCCTCCTGAAGTTCTTTTGAGGAGAGAAGACCCTGTTAGGTGCCATGGTAGAGAGGGGCCCTGTGAGTCTTAAATAACTGGTTAATATAGCTACTTAGCTGAAATTAGGAAGGTAAACCCAGGATTCAGGAGAGGAGAAAGAGACAGCATGGGATCCTGCAGTCACCCTCCTGTACATCTGTTTGCAGGGAGGGTCTTTCCTGCAGGGTTGGGAGCACCCAGTATTGAGGTCCTCTGAGTATGGCTACCCTGTTGTTCTCATCTGTGAATGGGGCCAGGCCTGTTTCTTCCCCCAGTATAAACAGCCAGGGGAATCCATCCACAAAACACCTGCTAGCTTCACATTAATCCTGTATTAGTTTGATTTAATATTTCATATCTTATAAGAAATGAAATGGAAGGATGATCTCTTTGGTAAAGGTAATTCAGATTCCTGGGGCCCTGGATACCTTATCTCACTGTTTAAAATCCTCATGGAGGATCAGGAGAGTACAGAGCCCAGAAACAGTCACGAGACCTGAAGCTCCCTGGTGTAAAGGACCCTCCCCCGCACCCTGGGGCTTAGAGTGAACAGCCTCTACTGTCAGCCTGATTGTTCTCAGTCTTCCTGGCTGCCAAGCTTCTGGTTCCCAGCAGCCTCCTCTCTCACCCTTCACCTCTTCTGACTGGGGTCATTGGCCACTTGACAGGCAGTGCCCTCCTTGTCAGTCAGCCTGTCTACCTGGTTTCCTCTCAGGGTGTGTGGCTTGACTGGGTTAACCATCCCCAGCCCCAGCAGAAACAGGGAGAAGTGACTCAGCAAATCCCCCAAGAGCAGTGGGATCCCTACATGTGAGATGGGGCAAAGCCATCATTCTAGTCCCTCCCATACCTGAGAACTTCTTGCACATCACAAGTCCAAGGACCATAGCAGGAAGTAGCTCTAAGCCAGAGACAAGAACAGAGCAGTGACAAGAGGCTGGTGTGAATGGAGACCAGCAAGCTCTATTGAGAGTAGTGGGATGAGGCCACAGATGCCCTGTGTTGAGGGGCTAGTAGGAAATGGTGGGAGACTGGGATTTCATTGCACTAAGAAAGGAAGAGGATGGAGTGTCTGTGGGATGTGATGGTGAGGATGTGCCGTAATTCCCATTTGAAAGGCTCGCTCTGCCTGTTGCATGGGTGATGGACAGCAGGTGTGAGAAGCAGCAGGCAGCCCAGCTGGAAGGCCCATCTGATTTACTATCCTAGAGAGGATTGGCTCTGGGGTAAAGTAGTAGAGGAGTGAGAAGTGATTGGATTTGGGGTCAAATATTTAAGATGGTGTTAGCAATAAGTCAATGGAGAATCACACATTTATTTACTTAACTTAATTCTACAGTTCATTCCCAGGAGTTTACAGCAACAAACCCATGGTAATAAATATACATGAATTATTTTAAAAACAACACCAAGGAAAATATAAACTTTAGAATGTTAAGGCTGGGGTAAAGCTAGCACATTGCTAGGCACGAAGGAGCATCTGAAACATTTGCTGAAATGGTTTACTGTTTACCTATCCATGGATTTGTTGGCTCACAATTTTATTGCATCAGAGCACCATGGAGAGGGGTGACAGTGCAGGTCACCAACCCTTAGTTTTCTGCTTCAGGAACAGTTCCTTGTTCTACACTTAGAGTCAAAGCAAATTATGTAACTGTAAGATGTTCAAAGATGAAGTCAACGAATGCAAAGTCAGTAACTAAGTATAAAAACCTCCCCCAAGGAGAGTCTACATTTCTTCCCCAGAAATGGCCTCACTGTGCACTGCTGAAGGGAGAGGGTCTTTTCAAAGAGCCCAAGAAGCAGGGGCTACTGGGCTGCAGCTCTAAATAGAGATGCCATTCTTTCTACCTGCAGGTCCTGCCAAGCCTAACAGCAGACTTCAGTGATCCCACCTGAACCAGGAATTCGGGATTTTTGATGCTGGTTCTATTTGAGCCATTGTGTAAGCTTAAAAATGTGACATGGAGATTTTGCTGTAATTGTTTCTTTGCTGGAATTTGACATCCACGGTGCCTCTGGCTTCCTCTCTGGTCCCAGGAGGGAATGGATTGTCCAGCACTTTTTTTCAGCATCTCTTTGTGGGGGGGGGATCAGGAGATTTGGAGTCAGGGGCCCCTCCAATCTCACCCTCTTCTCTAATGCAGAGTCCCTTAAGCTTTCTGGGGTGGGGGCGTTGGCACTCTGCGGATCTCATGAATAAAATTGTTCCAGCTCCTGAAATAAAGGCACAGGTGCACATAAATACGCTGACTCTTGCATGCAGTGCCAAGGTGAGGAAGTTTCCTATGATAGATGCCGAGTTTAGCACTTTGACTCTCCATTAACATTCACACAGACACACACACAAGCGCGCGCGCACACACAAACACACACACACACACACACACACACATACAGAGCCAAAGCCAGCGATGCGGGAGGGGCTGACCTCAGGGGCGGGGTCACAGGCATCCCTCAGGTCCTTCTCAGTGGACTTTGTCTCTTTTTCCTGGAGGTGGAGGAGTCTGTACTTCATGAGAAGTCCTCTGAAGAAAGCAGGAGATACTTAGGAGCGGGGAAGTGGAGACAAAGGGGAGGGGGCGAGGCAAGGGGGGAGCACGCAAGAAATGGGGAGGGGGAGGACCTTATAGTGGTCAGAAAAGTCACACGCAGAATTTGGCTCTTGGTTTTTGTGTTTCATTAGGATGGATTTAGAAAACCAGACGGAGTGCGAGATAAGGAGTCTACCTTGCAAAAGACACGTCTTAGTGTCCTCCTAGTTTGAACTCATCAGTAGTAGCTGGGAGAAGGGAGCCGGGACGCCTGTGTGGGGCACGCCCTCTCTAGTTGTTCCCATTCTCTGCACCCCACCGGCTGGTGCCCTTCAACCCCAACAGGAAGGAAAGGAAGGAGGGGTCGGAAGGCTTTGGGTCTTCCCTCGCGCGCCTTCTTCCTCTGCCATTTATTCCGAGTGTCCTTGCCTTCCCTCCGCTACCTGATCCCCACCTTAACAAAGCACACTCTGCGCTGTTGGGCCAGGATTCCTCCTTTGGCCTCTGACTCACTGGTACAATTTCGCTGCGTCCTGTCCTTACCGCAATTGCTACTGGGTAGAGCCGGAGAGAGCATCGCCCAGACCCGCTAGATTCATGCAGCGCCACTGCCCGCACATTCTTGACACTTCTTTAGATCCAAAGTCAGAGCCTGAGTTTTCAGACTAGTTCCGAAAGCCTTTAGCCATTGGAAAGGGGAAATCAATACTCTAGGAACAAAATTTGCTTCGACTTTGTCTCAACCCAAAGACACCATGACGGCGCAGTTTTCAAAGTTGCTTTGAGTATAAATGGAACAGGGTCTCCTGTGTCAGACTCGATTTTGCGTTTCCCTCTTTATTATAGCCCTTCTGTAAATTTTATTACATGTATCTCTACTCCACTAAAAACATTTCTGTCAAAGACACTAAGAAAGAGTCAATGCCATGAAAATATGAAGGATACTCTTAAAAGAGAGTTTCTGGTGTTGAGTTTTAATTAACACTTTGGTATTTAAAAATCTCTAACTATTTGGGTTTGGGGCTTAGCTTCATAATGTTTCAAACTGAGATATACTCTTCCTTAACCTCCATACAAATTCAGGTTTATTTTTATTTTTAATTGCATTTATTTTTCTTTTTTTGAAACAATGTCTCCATTCGTCACCCAGGCTGGAGTGCAGTAACACAATCATAGCTCAATGCAGCCTCGAACTCCTGGTCTCAAGCAATTCTGCCTCACCTTCCAGAGCTGAAATTACAGGTACAAGCCACCGGGCCAAGCCAAATCCAAGTTAATACTGTAATATAAAATTCCAACATTTCAGAGAAAGTGAAAATCACCAAGTTATCGTAGTCCCTGGAGTCACTGTCAAGACTTTGGTGAGGGCTCAGTGGCTCACGCCTGTAATCCCAGCACTCTGGGAGGCTGAGGCGGGTGGATCACCTGAGGTCAGGAGTTCGAGACCAGCCTGTCCAACATGGCGAAACCCCATCTCTACTAAAAACACAAAAAATTAGATGGGTGTGGTGGCGAGTGACTGTAATTCCAGCTACTAGGGAGGCTGAGGCAGGAGAATCACTTGAACCCTGGAGGTGGAGGTTGCAGTGAGCCAAGATCGCACCACTGCACTCCAGCCTGGGCGACAAGAGCGAAACTCCGTCTCAGAAAAAAAAAAAAAAAAAAAAAAAAAAAGGCCAGGCGTGGTGGCTCACGACTGTAATCCCAGCACTTTGGGAGGCCGAGGCGGGCAGATCACGAGGTCAGGAGATCGAGACTATCCTGGCCAACACGGTGAAACCCCGTCTCTACCAAAAAAAAAATACAAAAAAATACAAAAAATTAGTGTGGTGGCGGGCGTCTGTAGTCCCAGCTACTCGGGAGGCTGAGGCAGGAGGATGGCGTGAACCCAGGAGAATGGCGTGAACCCAGGAGGCGGAGCTTGCAGTGAGCCGAGATCGCGCCACTGCACTCCAGCCTGGGCGACAGAGCTAGACTCTGTCTCAAAAAAAAAAAAAAAAAAAAAAACTTTGGTGAGAAATCTTCCAGGTTTTTCCCTACTTAAAATATACATTATGGAAGTGGTATTACTGGCATTATAATTCAGTATATCCTCATCTTTTAAAAAATGGTTAAAAGTATGAGACGCACACATCTTCTCATAACAATACTTAAAACTGATCTTACCTCTTTTATTGACCCTATAAAATTGTATTGCATAGCAGTTCTTTGGAGGACGATGGAAATGTTCTACATCTTCATTGTGGTAGTGGAGATGTGGGTGTGTACAACAGCCAAAACACAACGAGCTATGCATTTCAAATAGATACATTTTAGATACATTTGATTGTATGCAAAGCAAGTCCCAATAAAATGGCTTTTAAAATATATCTTCTTTGAGATTTGTACTTTGCTTATGTAAAACAAAACAAAACAAAAACCTTGTTTTTGTGCCCAAGAGACACAGCCTGACACATCGGCAGGTAGAGGCTTACGTGTGTATATATATTACTGTATATTTACAGATTCAGAGAGAGAGACAGAGATAAAGCTATGTTAAGAATATTCATACATACCAAAACTAGATAAAAACCAAAAATAAAAGTTAGAAATAATAAAACTCTATATTTTAAATGTTATTCTCTTCTTCACCTTTTTTCTCCTCTTTCCTTCCTCTCTCTTCCCTTTTTTCTTCAACACGCTCCCCCCACCCCCACCCTCCAGCCATCCTTCCCTACTTTCTCCCTTCTCTGCACTTGATCCCCGGTGTATTCCAGCCTCGAGGCCAACACACGTCACCGCGTCCGCCTGGGGCAGGTCGGGGAAGGGACGCGAGGCGGCGCTGTCACCGCATTCTGAGGGCCGCAGCGCCCTGCGCCCCTGCTGGTCTTGTATCATTTCAGTCAACGTCGCTCCAGTCTTTGATGGGGCCACACTCGGGATGTAAATTTAGGATCCTCACTGAAGGGGCGGGACCCTGAGAGGCTTTCTCCTGGCCCCTTAGTTGTGAGTTTTCCTGCAGGCGGAGGAGCCAGTTTCCGTCAGAACCGCCCAGAGGCAGGCGCTGCCTTCCTGGGGTGGCGGAGCAGCTGGAAGCGTTTTCGGATCCTGGAATCCGTGGGCGGCCCGTGGGAGGGGCTGAGGCGCATTTCCCTACTCACCCGGATCCGAATCCACCGCGGTGCTGTTTCAAGCGAGTCAGATTCCACATCGCGCTCCACCCCGGACTCGGAATTCCTGCCCCACAGGTCTGCATTTTCACAGCGGCAGCTGTGAGTGCCCCGCGGCTGGAGACCAGAAGCCTGAAGGCAACTCCGTCCTCCCCAGCCCACAGCGCCGTTATTCCGTTTCTATATCAGCAAACACTTGTAGACCAGGGCGGGGTGACGGGTGATCTCAGTCCTCGCAGTGAACTCCGGGCCGCAGGCTTGAAAACGCGCGCGGGCGCCCAGCCCAACCCCGCCCTGGGTTCTGTAAGCGACCGCACTGGGTCCTTTCTCTTTCTTTTCCGGACCCAGCAGTGGCGCCTAAAGTCTGCGAGGAGGAAGTCGCCTCTGTGCCCCGGAGTTCAGAGGTCTAAGGCGAGTCCTGAGGAAGAAAACGTAGTTGATGGGGCAGAGCAGAAGGGGCTGGAGGTGGGGTGGAGGGAGAGGGCATTGGACAGAAGGCCTGGGAGACTTGGTGGGGGACGGGCAGCCAGGCCTGGACCCTGGGGAGTGCCTCACCCCGAGCGGAAGACCATCTGGGCTTCCCCTAGCCCAGAAAGGGTGGATTGGCTTCACCTCTGCTGGCCATCACCTCTACATGCCTTGGAACTAACCTTGTATATTATTATTATTGTCGTTATTTAAGTATTAAAAGTATTTTTTGGGGTGAGCTGAATGAGACCCTTTGCTAGAGCTGGCACAGGGAGGAAGGTCGTCCTGGAGGGAGGGTAGACACTGTGGAGGGAAGGGAGACCTCTGTCAGGAGAGCTGAGACCACCTCTCTGCCCCTCACTACTCTTGTAATCTTTAGGAGTGTAAATAATCCCCCTAAGGTGGGGACAGGACCCCAGTCCCTGCTGTGCGCAATAGATTATGATGATCAAAATAAATAATCAGTGAATGTGGATGGGAAATCTAAGTAATTGTTAAAACCCTGTGATGCTTAAATTTTCACTCACAGAAATGTGTAGGCTAGGAGTTTTAAGAGGAATGGTTAGTAATTATAGGTATAGTTCAGTTTTAAAAAATGTTTGTAAGAGTGACAAAGATAGAATGAACACAGTTCCAGATCATGGACTGTTCATCGTGTAGTGAGGGATGGTACAAGATGGTAGATGACAGCTGGGCATGGTGGCACTCACCTACAGTCCCAGGTACTCAGGAGGCTGAAGTGGCTGGATTGCTTGGGCCCAGGCATCTGAAGCTGCAGTGAGCTGTGATCACACTGATGCCCTCCAACTGGCGGCAGAGTGAGATCTCCCCCTCTTAAAAATAAATAAATAAATAAATAGTAGATGGAGTTCAAGAATGCAGGCAAAGTTGGTACCCATCAGGGAGGTTCAAACCATGGGCTAGAACAGTGGTTCTAAAACTTGCCTACACATTGGAAGCACGTAGAGAGCTTTAAAAGATATTGAAGCTTAGGTCCAACCTAGCCTTACTGATTCAATTGGTTTTGGCTGTGACCTGGGACCGTGGATATTAAAAACTCTCCAGGTGGTTCTGTGAAGTGGCTAGGTTTGAGGACCACTGGCTAGATGTTCCAAAGAGTAAGAGACGTGTGTGTTGGGGACGAGATGATTCTTTCAGTAGAAAGAGGCTTTTGCATGGTGTTTTATTATCGAGATATAATTTATGTGCCACGTAATTTACCATTTAAAAATGTACAGTCCAGGGCCCACTCAGAACCATCCCAGCAACCTGACCACAGCTGGTCTTTGCTGGACACCATGAACCACACTGCCCAAACCTTCTTCATTCCTGCCAACAGTGGCTGCCCTCCCCCGCCCCCCAACCCCAGCTATGAGATGCTCAAGGAGGAGCATGAGGTGGCTGTGCTGGGGGCGCCCCACAACCCTGCTCCCCCAATGTCCACCATGATCCATATCTGCAGCGAGACCTCCGTGTCTGACTATGTTGTCTGGTCCCTGTCCAACATCCTCTTCATGAACCCCCACTGCCTGGGATTCATAGCATTCACCTACTCCCTGAAGTCTAGGGACAGGAAGATGGTTGGAGACCTGACTGGGGCCCAGGCCTATGCCTCCACTGCCAAGTACCTGAACATCTGAGCCCTGATTGTGTGCATCATCATGACCATTCTGCTCACCGTCATCATCCTAGTGTTGATCTTCCAAGTCTGTCGATAGATCAGGAGGCATCATCCAGGCCAGGAGCTCTGCCCATGACCTGTATTCCACATACTCCAACTTCCATTCCTCGTCCTGGCCCCAGAGCTGAGTTCTGTATCAGCGCTTTATCCTCACACACTCTTCTACAATGGCATTCAATAAAGTGCATGTGTTCCTGGTTAAAAAAAAAAAAATGTACTGGTCAGTGGCTTTTAGCATAATCACAACATCGTGCCACAGTCGCTATTATCTAATTGGGAAGATTTTCTTTTTTTAAAGGCTAGTCAAGTAAAGCAGTGGGAGTGGAGAAGGAAAAAAGAAATCTGTAATTGGTTGTGATCAATTAGTTGTAAACACCACTACACTCTGACCAGCCTAATTGGGAAGATTTAAGGATGTGACACGGTCTAATGGGCTCAGAGGCAGAAGCGACAGTAATCTGGAAGCAGGAGACTGCTTAGGCAGTGGCATCCCGGTGGGACAGGGCAAGGAGATTGGGGAGCCCACTTTTACTGCAACACTGGAAAGAGGGATGTCACCAGAGAAATGGGGGTGGTGACAGACAGGAGGTTGTGGCAGCTGTGGCTTCCATGGTAGAGACCTCACGTGTGACATTCAGCAGATGGGGTGCTGTGGGGGTCTTAGAGCACTCTGACTATAGCTGGGACAGTCACAGTGTTTAGGAAGCCTGTACAGTGATCTAGGCTGAATCTTGTGCAGTGATCTAGGCTGAAAGCCGAGACTAAAGTAGTGGCTGTGGGATCAAAATAGGGTTGGAGGAGCTTTGAGTACTTGAGAAGGAAAAGGGGGAAATCAGAAGGCACCACGGAAAGAGAAACAGGGGAGGAAGAGAGGATGATGTCATGCGAGACGTGTAGAGTGTCCTTGTAGACCTGTCACATTGGAAGCTACTATGGTCTCAGAGGTACAGATGTCCTAAAGCAGGCTGGAAAAGGGAGTCTGGGGAGAGCTTGGTGTTGGAGTGGACACTGGCAAGCTGCCTCCTTGGCCTTTTGATCACCCAGGGGCTGAATAGAGAGGCAGCCCCGGGAGACCTCACACACTTACAGGAAGTGACCATAAGAAAGGGGACCTAGCTTTGAGTAAAAGGGAGGAGAAGGAGATTGTAAAGCTGAAACGTCTGAGAGATTTGTCGTCTTAGCGGATCAGCTGGGGCAGGTGCTTCAGAAACAGAGGTAGCTGAGGTCTGGAAACAGGTCTGCAAATCTGGTCACTGGCCACATAGCCAGTAACGCTGTGCGCGGCTGAGGGGAGTGTGTTGGAAGAATAACCAGGCCTCGTCTCTTCTGTAAGTGTGTCCTGGAAAGAACAAGCGAATGACAGTCAGCTTGATGGGGTGGCTGGCGAAACGGTCTTGGTGAGGCACGCTATCCTAGGGGTGGGGGTGCGGGGATGGGGTGGTCGCAATACAGGGAGGGCGGCAGGGCCCAGGTCGTGCTCATGCGGTTGGGGCTGTACTCTCAGCTGCTCGGAGCCAGTCCCCGCATTTGGCGGCGCTTCCGCGCGCTCCCCCTTTTCTGGGCTCCAGGTCCCGCCAGCCAAAGTTCTCCAGGTCTCCTGACCGCTGGAACGTTCCCCTTCTGAGTGTGGCCCCGCCCTCCCAGCTCGTGATTGGCCCTAAGCTGCGGGCGCCAGTTTTCATTGGGTGAGCGGTCGCTGGGGTGGGGCCAGGTGACAGGAAATTTCTGGTGGGCCTTCGCGGCTCCGCTGGGTTGGCAGCCGCTTGAGCCACTGCGAGGAAAGCAAAGTCTGGGCCATGGAGATGAGCCTAGTCCTGCTGTTCCTGATCCGCACTGCCCTTTTTGCACCCCAGGGAGCTGCTGCTGGTAAGTGGGGTTCCTGGCGGTCCTCGGCGGAGCGGCAGCGGCGGGGCGTTTCTGGGGGTCCGGGTGGGTAGCGGCGAGCGCTGTGCGGCCGAGGCGGGGCTCAGGTGCGCTGTCGGGGGTGCGGGGAGTGGACGCGGCCCGTTCCCGCCACACCTCAACCCTGCTTCCACGTCTCTTTTCAGTCCTCCTCGGGATCGCTCATCACCCGCCCCCTGCATTTTCTGGTCTTGTCCTGCACTTTCTCTCCTCTCCTCTCCTCCGTCTCCTCTCACTTTTCGGACAAACCAGTCTTTCTGAGGCCCCTGGGTTCCTGGGCTGCTCCTGTGAATGGCATTCGAGGGCCCTTCCAGCGCGGCCGCTGAGGCAGCCACCTCCCCCGGTGCTGGGGGCGGCCCTAAGGTCCCTGAAGCCCTGTCCTCTCCCGGAGCCGACGTGTTCTCAGCTCCTGGGCCGCATCTCCTGGAGTTGGGGCCCTCCTTTCTCGGGACCCGGAGCTAGTGCTTCCTGCTGCTGTGGGGACTGTGGGGCTCCTGACCCTCACGCTGAGGGGTTGGAGTCTGCAGGCTCCGGGCAGAGGATTCTTCCTGCGACTTCTCTCATCCCCAGCTCATTCTCCCCTGGCCTCCCGCTGCCGGGGATCCTCTCTTGTCTTGCATCCTTCCCTGCTACTATTAACTCCAGTGATCTAAGGACACCAGATTCCCTCCCACCTCCTCCCCTGCCCTCAGGGCACCTTGGGTCCTGTTGCCCTCCCAGCTCCCTGTTACCCCTTCCTATCTGCAGTTCTCTGATACATTTCTAGGATGTCCTCTGCCTCATCCCCTGCCCCCGCCACCGCAGGTCCCTCCTGCCTCCCTTATGGGCCTTTCCTAGAAGCAGCCTTAACCCAGGGCTGCCCCTATGCCTCCCACTCCCAACTCTCCCTGACCCTAACTCTCTGGTGCCGCCTTTTGTCCCAGGGTCTTCCCTCCGTCCCACTCCCCTCTAGACCACCCAAGGGGAGCCCTAGTGCTAATGTTGGTTGGGCCTTAGGCAGGGCACAGGGCAGGGCAGATGCCCCCTCCCCTCTAGTGCAGGTGCCTGCTCTGGGCCCTGCCTCACGGTGGCCCCTTCCCTACTCCTTCATCCTCAGCCCCACCCTCTTGAGGACCCCCCACTCCAGCCCACGGGTGCTGGACCATCCCTCCCTGGTCCCTCCGCCCCTCTCCGCCTTGGGACCTTGTGCTGCTCCTACCTCTTGCCCAGCTGCCTTGGGCCCTCAGCAAGTTCTCATCTTTCCCAAGCCCCACCCTCACTCAGAGCACCCTCCCCTCCTGTCCTCACCCTAACCAAAGTTCCCCCAGGTTCACCCCCACACCATGCTCACCCCATCCTCCAGTCCTTGCCCTGCACATCTGTCCTCCTCTACCCAGACCCAACACAGGCCGTGTGTCCAACTGCTTCTTTTTTTTTTTTTTTTAGACGGCGCCTCCCTCTGTCGCCAAAGTTGGAGTGCAGTGGCGCGGTCTCGGCTCACTGCAAGCTCCGCCTCCCGGATTCAAGTGATTCCCCTGCCTTAGCCTCCTAAGTAGCTGGGATTACAAGTGCCCACCACCACACCCGGCTAATATTTTGTATTTTAATAGAGACTGGGTTTCACCATGTTGACCGGGATGGTCTCAATCTCCTGACCTCGTGATCTGCCTGCCTAAGCCTCCCGAAGTGCTGGGATTACAGGCGTGAGCCACCACACCTAGCTGGTAATTCATTTTTTAATTTTTGGAGGAATCAACACACTGTTTTCCATAACAGGTGCCCTATTTTGTATTTCCAAATGCATTACACAAAGGTTCCAGTTTCGCAACCTGTTTGCCAAACTTGATATTTCTGTGTGTGTGTGTGTGTGTGTGTGTGTGTGTGTGTGTGTGTGTGTGTTTGATAATAGCCAAACTAATTGGTGTAAAGTAATAGTTCATTGTGGTTTTGATTTGCATTTCCCTAATGACTGCTGATGCTGAGCATCTTTTCATGTGTCTGTTGGCCATTTGTACATCTTGTTTGGGGAATTGGCTATGCAAGTCCTTTGCCTACTTTTGTATTAGTTGAATGTCTCCTGTTTGAGTTGTAGGAGTTCTTTATGTATTCTGGATATTAATCTCTTATCAGATATATATGATTTGCAAATATTTTCTTTCATTCTGGGGGTTGCTTTTTCACTGTGTTTATTGTGTTTTTAATGAACTTTTTTATTTTGATGAGTCCAATTTATCAATTTTTTCTTTGTTGTTGTATCTTTGGTGTTATATCCAAGAAAGTGCTATCAAATTCTATGGCATGAAGATAATTCCCTATGTTTTATTGTAAGAGTTTTTCAGTTTTAGTTCTTGAGTTTAGGTCTTTGATGTTTTTCTTAGTTAATTTTCATATGTGGTGTAAGTTAGGGATCCAACTTCATTTTTTTTTTTTTTTGGCATGTGAACATCTGGTTTTCCTAGCACCATTTGTTGAAAAGATGCACTGACTCTTTAAGACCCTTGCCACCAGCCCACCCCAGGGGACACCAACTGGTCCATCCACCTCCCTACTTGGGGCATTGCCATGCCACTCTGAAGCCCACACCATTGCTTCTCCCTGGGATACGGACCTCGTAGAAAACGTCTCTGGCACCACAGCCTACCTGCCCCTCCTGCCTCACAGCCAAGTCTCCCTTGCCCCCACCTTGTCCATGTTGAGCCTTCCTCAAAGGCAGTGGACCTTGCCTCCATCTCACCCTCACCTGTGCACCACAGCCATGGTGGTCATGGGTCCCTCTGAGCCTGGGTCCCTTACAGTTTCTGCTCTCCCCTCTGGCAAGACCTTCCTTCCACCACTGCCTTCATGCTCCTCCCTTGAACCTGCAGGGCAGCCCCTTCCATTGGCCTCCTCCCTATACCCTGAGGGGGCCTGTGGCTGCCCTGCCCTGGCACCTGGCCTACAAGTTTGCCATCCCCATTCCCCCTTCTTCTGTTCCTCAGTCCCCTCCTCTATCCTCCCACCTTCCCAGTTTTCCTTGCGTCTGAAATCCTCATTCTTGTCCCTTTGCCCGTGTGCATTTCCTGCCTCCTCAGGAAGGTCGGGACAGCAGACCTGTGTGTTAAACATTGATGTGAAGTTACTTCCAGGAAGAAGTTTCATCTGTGATTTCCTCTTCCCCAGAGCCCCACAGTCTTTGTTACAACCTCACGGTGCTGTCCCAGGATGGATCTGTGCAGTCAGGGTTTCTCGCTGAGGGACATCTGGATGGTCAGCTCTTCCTGCTCTGTGACAGGCAGAAAGGCAGGGCAGGGCCCTGGGGACAGTGGGCAGAAGCAGTCCTGGGAGCTGAGACCTGGGACACAGAGACTGAAGACTTGACAGAGAATGGGCAGGAGCTCAGGAGGACCCTGGCTCATATCAAGGGCCAGAAAGGAGGTGAGAGTGGGCAGTGGGCAAGAGTAATGGGAGAGGCCTTTTCCAGGAGAGTTGGGGGCAGAGAGCAGGACCTGTCTCTTCCCACTGGATTTGGCTGTGAGTAGGGGTGAGGAATGGTGCTCAGCGGGGCTCAGCCCACACAGGGAGGGATGGAAGAGGGCCAGGGAGGGGTCCTTCCTGGTCCGAGTTCCTCACTTGGACTGGAATGGAGAAGTCACTGCTGGGTAGGGGCAGGCAGCCTTGCATTCCCTCCAGGAGATTAGGGTTTGTGAGATCAGGAAGCCAGCAGCACCAGGGGCTTTAGGCATTTCTACACATATGGGAAGCTCTTCCTCTCTCCCAACCTGGAGACTCAGTAATGGACAGTGCCCCGGTCCTCCAGAGCTCAGACTTTGGCTATGAATGTCACAAATTTCTGGGAGGAAAATGCCATGCAGACCAAGACACACTATTGCCCTGTGCAGGCAGACTACATGCAAAAGCTATGGTGATATCTGAAATTCTGGAGGTATCAGAAAAACAGGTACGTGAAAGTAGTGGGTCCTCCTATAGAAGCCTGAACCTGGGGTGGGCATTAGGCAGGAAAGGAAGGCCTCAAGGCCAGGGCTGCCTCATCTGCCTCCCAGCCTGCCCATCCTGGAGAGCTACCTCCTAGCCCCACGACCCAGGAGCCCACCCCTGACAACCCTCTCCTCAGCATCAAAGCCGGAGTCCCAGAGTGTGAGGCCACAGTCCTGAGGCCCATCTTCCAGCAAGCCTAGGGGAATTGGACCCCAGGTAAGGACCGATTTGCAGAAGGTCTGGGGTCAGTGTGGGTTTCAGCGAGAGTCAGAACAATAGAGAGGACCAGTCCTGTTCCCTGCATCTCCCTTAGAGGGGAGAAAGGCTTGGCCACATGCCTCACTGGCTCTGCCCTTTTGTCTCCAATGACCCCCACAGTGAATGAGATGCACAGTGGGGCCTTAGAAGGCAATGTCACCATGATGTGCTGGCCTCCATCTTCTATCCCTGGAATATCTCTCTGACCTGGCATCAGGATGAGGCATCTTTGAGCCAGGATGCCCAGCAGTCTAGGGGTGTCCTGCCCAATGGGAATGGGACCTACCAGACCTGCATGGCCACCAGGATTCCCCGAGGAGAGGAGCAGAGGTTCACCTGCTACATGGGACACAGAGGGAATCACAGCACTCACCCTGTGCCCTCTGGTGAGCCAGGGGCAACTCTCAAGGGTTTCGACCTAGGGAGGTCAGGCCAGGGTGGGGATAGCAGGGACGGCTGTGGCTTTGCGTGCTCAGTGTGTCACAAGGCCCTTTTTTTAGAGAAGGCCCTGGTGCTTCAGAGTCAATGGCAGCCATTCTGTATGCTGCTATTGCTACTGTCATTATTATTATTAGTAGTAGTAGTAGTAGTATTCTCTGTGTCCTTTGGTGCAAGAAGAAGACAACATCAGCTGCAGAGTCCAGGTGAGAAAACGGGGCAGTGGCTGGAGATGGAAGGACTCCTCTCTGGGCAGCAGGGTCCCCTCATAGCTCCTGCACAGATAGACATGTAGGTAACAAGGTCCTGGAACAGGGGATGGACATTGGGGTATTTGGGAGGGGAATGGGAGCCACATCTCCATCTACACCCCTAAGTCCTGCCCAAGCCAGGGCTGGGCCACGGCCCTCAAATGTCCAGCGGTGGCCTCCTCCTGCTGCAGGTGAGGAGTGGGCAGCAGGGAGGGCTGTGGCACCTGCTCTGTCCCCATCCTGGTCTCTCTTGTTTCTTGGGCTCACCACGGTGCGTCCAGGTGGGGTGAGTTGAGAATCACGTGCTGATTGCTGAGGGCCTGGATGATCATGGCTTCAGTGGGAGTAAATAGTAAAGGCGGCTGTGATCTGGGGAGGGGCTAGAAACTGGAGAGGAATCCGAGGAGAGGCGGTGCCCCTAGTCTCTTCCTCTCTGCATCCCTCTCTCCTGTTTCTCCAGCCATCAGGAGGACACCAAGAAAAAGACCCACGAAGCCCAGACTGGGAGGCCTGCCTGTGCAGCCCCTTTGAGGTCCCCTTGTAACAGGGGGGGTCCTGAGTGCACACAGCCATCTCTGTCCACTTTGCAGCTCCCCATGGGCCTCCTCCAGGAGCTATCTTGGGGGTATCATGTCCTCTGCATCACTGGAGGTTCCCACCACATGGCCCTGCCTCCCTGAGTTTCTGTGCAGATGTTATGGAGGAGTATATAAGCAGACATCCCTGGGCCATTTGGGAAGCAGGAACCAGCTCCTTGTCAGGGCAGCTGTGGTCCCTGTTTTCATCATATGTCCAAGTGTTACCTTGTCTAGCCCCCAGGAACACAGTCCCCAGGACCATGTTTTTTGGGGCACCCACAGCAGGGGCAGTGCAGGTCTGGTTGCTCCTGCTCTCACCTGCAGCATCTGCCGTAGAGGAATTGTCAGTTCTGGTTCCCTGTGGGCAGTAAAGGTTTCCTTGTAGGTCACTGGGGCATTGGCCAGAAAAAGGTTGTGAAAATCACATGCTAATTTCCCAAAATTCCTGCTTTCAATGTTGATGTCCAATAAAGATGTTCATAATTTCAGCTGGATATTCTTAATAGGATTTCCTCCAATACCGATGCTGTAAAGCATATTGAATGGAACAGGAATTCAAATTTGAAACTCTCTCTCTAGAAGGGTCCATGTGGGAGATGGTGGCTGTGGCTGTGGCAATCCCCAGGTGCAGAGTGGGCGGAGGCAGCCTCAGGCTGAGGGGTCTCAAGAAATCCCTTATTCCATAGGGAGAAGAAGAAGATCCTCTGTGGGTGTGAGGGCAGTGGCCTGGGTGGAATCCCTGCTAGGAACCAGACAGGAAGGCCTTGCAGCCTCACCAAGCAGCAGCCCTGGGGTGGAGCTGGATTTCCAGGGATGAGTGGACCAGGCAGGAGCAGGGCATCCCAAGTGCAGGTCATGGACCTGGGTGTCAAGGGAAGCAGAGCCTTCTTGAGCAAGGGGGTCTCCAGGGTCAGGTCAGGTGCAGACCCCATGGCAGCCACGTGTTTCCATCCTGGGCCTGACAGGCCTGCTGGGCTTCCTGGTGGGCTCTCCAGGTAGGAGCTGCCTGCTCAGGACTGGAAGGGGAGGAACACTGAGCTGTAGGTGGAGGGCGGAACCCACAGTGGGCAGGGCCTGCCCTGGTGTGCAGGTGCTTCTGCAGGAAAGGAGGGCCTGGGGAAAGAGGGAGAGAAAGGCCTTGTGTGTGACCCAGCCCAGGCCTGGAAGTACGTGGAGCCAGGGCCTCTCTCTGGGGAGGCCTCCCACTGTGTCCGAGCTGGCCAGGCTTGAGAGGAGGGGAGGGCACTGAGTTTCTTCTGGAGTCTTGTCATTTAGTCCTGCGGCCCTTTCAGTCCCTACAGAGTGCATAGTGGGCACAGGGCAAGTGCTGATCTTCATGAAGTCATGGGAGGGGACTGGCAGGGGCTGGGAAAAGTGCCATAGGAGGGAGAAAAATGTGGGAGCATCATCTTCCCTCAGAGAAAGGGTAAATCTGATTTTGGAGTGACTGAGGAGGGAGAAATCCTCAGGGAGTAAAAAGCAGCACTCTGCACCCAGGGGAGCATTTATTGGTTTCTCTATTTTCTCCAGAGCACGTGAGCCTGCAAGGCCCGGATCAACGCCCGGTTGGGACAGGAGACCACCAGGGCAGTGCACAGCTGGGATTTCAGTCTCTGGTGTCAACTCCTGGGTCTACTGGCTCCACTGAGGGCAGCTACACTCTGCAGCCAGATGGCCAGAATTCAACTCCCTGCCCAGGTCTCACCAGCACTTTCCCACTTGGTGCCTCAGTTTCCTCATCTATGAAATGGGGAAACTAACAGCATTTATTTCTTGTGGTTGGGTGGATGAAAAGCGTTAGTATATATGAGGGGTTTGCAGCTGTGCCACATTATTTTTGTTATCATTTGATTATATTTTAATATATTACATATGCGGTCATTGTATTATTATTATAAATGAGATTTATGAGTGAGTGTCCTGGTTACAGCTCCTTCTGGGGAGCCCAGGACCAGCTTTCCTGGCACCTTGAGGTCCCCTCACCCTGTCACACTCTCATGCATTACCTCATATCTACTATGTCTTCATAATTTTATACTATAGAAATTTACCCTTTAAGTAGACATTTCTGGTCTGTGTTTTATTTCAAGTGTCTGGGAAGGGATAGAGTATGAGGTTCAAGAGAGAAGGAGAGGTCTGTCTTGATGCCTTGACACAGCACAAAGAAATCTCCCCACCTCCCCCGCATCTCCCCACCAGTTCTCGGTGATGGACGATTCACAGCAACACAGAAAGGGCTGGGAAGGGATGGAGGGGGACATCTGCAGCCAGTGTTTAGGGGCTGACCCTGTGGGAAGACACCTGCCTTGCAGAGGACCTCTGCATCTTGCAGATGCAGAGCTGAAGTCTGATATGAGGGAGAGGACAGGGAGTGCTTTGGACTTTCCTGATTAAGAAGA